>NC_000009.12:100644794-100796309 GCF_000001405.40 Homo sapiens | reverse complement strand
CTTAAAGATACCAAAAGAGCACCAGCTCTCTAACTTATAATGCCCCAAACTACAATGGCATGGTTGAGAAAGGTAAGAAACATTTCAAGGTGACCACTATTGTATGAATAAATGGTTACTTACAAATGGGAACAAGCAGCATTCCCTTCCCTTTTTTGTCAGAACATTCTAAAGTTTTGTAACAGATGGCATCGTTAGCATAGTGTCCCACATCCATGCATCAACCTGCTGATTAGATCACAACTATATCTATACTTGAGATTACAGAAGCCATGCTTAAGTCATGTTCTGGACCCCCAGTCACAAATAGGTCACCTCACTGCAAACCTTCATAATTCCTAGGATAGCCTCTTCTGATCTTTAGCAACGGTTGTCTTCCTGTCTTTCTAAACTCTGGAGTTATTCCTTTACTTACTTTTCAAACGCTCATCCTTCATCAATGAAATCAATCCATAAGCAAGGAGAACTTTGTCTTATTTCTTTTATTTGAGAATTAAAATACTGCTACCCACTCAGGGACTGCTCTATGCACTTATCCATTCATATGTTATCCAGCAAGTGTCTATTCTGTGCCAATTATAGGCTAGGCACTGTTGCTGCTTCATTCATCCAACAAGTGTCTATTCTGTGCCAACTATAGGCTAGGCACAGTGGCTGGTTGCTAGTGGCAGAATGATGAATCAGTTGGATAGAGTAAGGAACCTCAAATACTTTTTAGCTTAGTGGGATAATCAAACAAGTGGAGAGGCAATTTTAATACAGACAGCAATTGTGTGTTAAGGGAAGCACTAGTTGCTAATATAATAGAAAGGAGGATCTTCCAACCCTTGTTGAGGAAGGAGTTGCAGACAGACCTGAAGGATGACCAAGAGTTGAAAGACAAAGTATAAGGTGACGATAGGGAGAGGAGAGCTTGACTCATTTTACTCATTTCTTGCATACAAGATAGCCACACCCTCAGTTAATATTCTCATAATCAAGAGGAGACCTTCCAATAGTTGAGCCTTTTTAGCTGGTGCAGACATTGTGTCACATGCAGTGTTTTTTAGCTTCTTGGAGATCTCTGACAGCGCTTTAAATAATCCTCTTGGAACTACCAGAAGTTTCAATTATATATGATGAATTCTAGGCAGTGTTTTTAAGAGCTTTTTATCCTCTGGGCCAAAGTGCCTTTCAAGGACAGTGCAAGCGATCCTTGTTGATAGATGACAAACCCCATGGTTACCAAGGATGAGAAAACCATACGAAGAAAATATCGTTTTACTCTTCAGTAAATGTTTGAACTCTGCTGGGTCTGACAGCAAAACTCCAAGGACAAAGAAATGTTATGAAGTAGGTTTTCCCCATCCGGGCTCATGACAAAGATTTCTTAGGCTCAAATCAGGGTCTGCTACCATGGTCAGCATTTGAAGTATGCAGCCTAGAAAAGAGCAGCTTTGTAGATTTGGACAGTCTTATTGTCTTTTGTCCAGTAGAATGTGAATGTTATGGAGCAAAAATTTTTGCTAATCCCATGAGAATCAGTACTTCTGCCCAATTTCAACTGATCCTCAGCTACTACAAATACTACTTTATTAATATATTACTGCTAGCCCCTTCAAACATAATTTACATTTTTAATAAAAAAGACATGTTTATTATCAGAAAGTAGTTACTATCTTGCCTCCCTATCCTTAAATATTTACATGCATTCTGCTACATCCTGAAAGAGAACAAATTCCAGCATCTCTCTTATTAATTACGGTAAAATTGGTTTCAAAGCTAAATTATATTAAACACATATATTGATTGCTGAAAACATGACCTAATTGTTACTTCCAGGAATAAGCAACTTTTGTAAATTATAACGAAGAAAAATATAACAGTTTTTCCCCTAAAATCAGGAATAAACTTAGAATGTCTACTCTTACCATGCCTATTAACATGGTACAAGATGTTCTAACTGAAGAAGTAAAACTGTCTTTATCCCAAGACAACATGATTGTTTATGTAGAAAATCCCAATATGGGAAGAAGAGAGGAGAAAAAAGGAGAGGAGAGGAGGAGGGGAGGGGAGAGGAGGGAAAGGGAAGGGGACTACTACTAAGTAAATTTATCAAGTTCAATATTCAGCACCCAACTGCATTTGTATATACTAGCAACAAATAATTAGAAATGGAAATTTTTTAATTTCCATTACGACAGCAGCAAAATGTGTGAAACACTTAAAACATCTGATAAAAGATATGCAAGACTTGCATGCTGAAAACTACAAAAACATTGCTAAGAGAAACTAAAAAAGAGACGTAAATCAATAGAAAGATATACTGTGTTCATGGATCCGAAGACTTAATATTAAGATGTTAATTCTTTTCAAATTGATGTATAGATTCAACGCAAACCCAATCAAAATTCCAGGAGACATCCTTATAGAATTTGACAAGCCAATTATGTAATTTGTAAGGAAGTGCAAATGGCCTAGAATAACCAAAACAAGCTTTTAAGAAGAACATAGTTAAAGGACTTACATAGCCTGACTTTAAAACTTAGTACAAACCTACAGTAGTCAAGACACTGTGGTGGGGCATCAGGATCAACAAATAGGTGAAACGGAATAAAGAGTCCAGTAATAAATCCACACGTACATCATCAGTTGATTTTTGACAAAGATACAAAGACAATCCAGTAAAGAAAGCACAGACTTTTCAACAAATGGTGCTGGAACAATTTGAAATCCATATTTAAAAAATCAACTTCAACTGGCTGTAGTTGCTCATGCCTGTAATCCCAGCATTTTGAAAGCCTGAGGTGGGAGGATCGCTTGAGCCCAGAAGTTTGAGACTAACCTGGGCAACAAAGCAAGCAAGACTCTACCCCTACAAAAATTTAAACAAAATAGCCAGGCTTGGTGACACATGCCTGTAGTCCCAGCTACTTGGAAGGTTGATGCTGAGGATCGCTTGAGCCTGGGAGTTCAAGGCTGCAGGGAGCCGTCATTTTGCCACTGCACTCAGCCTGGGTGACATTGCAAGACTCTATTTAAAAAAAAAAAAAAATCAGCATCAATTCAAAACTCAAATCACATGCAAAAAATAACTTGAAATGGATATAAATGTAAAACCTAACACTGTAAAATTTGTATGGGAAAATCTTTGGGTTGGGTGAAAGTAACTATGATACAACATCATAAGCATGGTCCACTTAAGAAAGAATTAATAAATTGGGCTTCCTCAAAATTAAGGCCTTGACTTCGAAAGGCATTGTTAAGAGAATGCAAGGATATCCTGCAGAATGGCAGAAAATATTTGCAAATAACATATCTGATAAAGAACTTGTTTCCAGAACACACAAAGGGCTGTCAAAACTCAATAATAAGAAATTAATAACAATAAATGGGCAAAAGATTTGAGCAAACACATCTCCAAAAAAGATAGACTGATGGTAAATAAACATGTTAAAAGATGTTCAACATCAGCAGTCATTAAAGAAATGCAAATTAAAACCATGACAATATAGATACTACACACCTTTCAGAGGGACTAAAATTTAAAAGACTGACCATATCAACTTTTGGCAAGCATGTGGAGGAATTGGAACTGACAAATCACTGGTAGGAATATAAAATGGTATAACCACTTTGGAAGATATTTTGTCAATTTTTTAAAAAGTTAAACATACACCTACTATATGATCCAGCCACTACATTCCTAGATATTTACCCAAGAAAATGAAAGTACATGTACACAAATGTCGATAGCAACTTTATCTGTAACATCCAAAGACCTCAAATCGTCCAAATGTCCATTAACAAGTAGATAGATAAACAAGTGATAAATCTATACAATGAAATTGATACAGGCCACAACATGGGTGAATTTCAAAATAATTATGCTGATTGAAATAAGCCAGACAAAAAAGAGTGCACATATAATTTCTTTTGTATAAAATTCTAGAAAATTCAAGCCAATCTATCATGACAGAAATCACTGGCTGCTTCTCAATGTTAGGATGGGAGGAAGGAATTATAAAGGGGCAAAAGGAAAGTTTTAGAAGTGAAAGACATGCTTACTTGCAGTGATATACGTATCATTTGTGTGTATATGTATCAAAACTTATAAATTATACACTTTATGTACAGTTTATCATATTTAATTATACCTCAAAGAAGCTGTAATAGAAGAATACGCATAGACATACATATATCAAAGTGTTATTTTAGGGTTATAAAGTTAAGACTGGTTTTTATTTTATTCTATATGCTTTACTTTATTTTATAACTTCTAAAAATAAATACATTACATTTTTACTTGATATTACATTTAAAATCAGACAAATGACTTTCTGGTCTTTGTATGCTTTTTTGTATAAATTGTAAAAAGTTTAAGCATACAATTAAATAATCCGATTTTTTTCACCATGTTTTTCTCATATATCTGACATATAACAGACTTTTGGTTATATTTTTTAATAAATCCATAATATTCCTCTGTATAACTGGACCACAATTTACCTAATCATTTTCTTTCGTTGAATGTTTAAATTTCCCCTTCTTGCTATTATCTTTAACTTTCTATTTTATTTATTTATTTATTTATTTATTTATTTATTTATTTATTTATTGGAGACAGAGTCTCACTCTGTTGCCCAGGCTGGCCTGGTCTCAGCTCACTGCGACATCCACCTCCCAGGTTCCAGTGATTCTTCCTGCCTCAGCCTTCCAAGAAGCTGGGATTACAGGCACGTGCCACCAGATCAGCTAATTTTTGTATTTTTAGTAGAGACGGGGTTTCACCATGGCCACGCTGGTCTCAAACTCCTGATCTCAGGTGATCCACCCACCTCGGCCTCCCAAAATGCTGGGATTACAGGTGTGAGCCACCGCAACCGGCCTGTTATCCTAAACTTTCAAAACCGCTTTCATGCACATGGCTTACATATTCTTTTAAAATACAAGTATATGTTACCCAATTGTTTTCCCAAATAGAGGCAACAGTTTATATTTCCCTCAGCAATATATGAATGTGTTGGTTTTATCATAATCTTGTCAGTTTTGTGCTGATTTTTTTTGTTTGTTTCTCTTTGGATTTTTTAGGGTGAGGAGTGTAGAATAGAAGTGTCCAGTAAGGCACAAAATGATACATTATTATTAACAAAGTTAAGCATTTCCCACGTATTTATTTTCGATATTTTGTCCTATGTAATGGTATTATCATTATCTCATTATCACAAGAAAACATTTACAGTCAATTATTTCAAAAGGAGATATAGCAAAGAATGGAAACCCAACTATATAAAATAAATGAGGAGGAGAATGATATATTTTACTAAAAAGGATTAGTGGTGACATCTTTAGGTAGGCAGAGGATAGCACACAAGTGTATAACCTGTCATGAATTTCCTAAATCCAGGAAACACTCTTCTGGGGATGGAATGGAGGGTAAAATCAAAAGCCTCAGAGCTTTAAGTGGAGCAGACTTGAGGGCAATTGGCAAGCCAGGTAGCAAATGCACCAGGTAGCAAAAGTCACCCCTTATATCTAGCCAATTGTTACCATGCAATAACCTGAGACAAGATTTTCTGATTTGTTTTAAAGATGTCTGAATTCTTGGCTATAGTTTGAAATCTCCCCCATTTTTAAAACAGTGCATATTAAATAAAGACTTTGTATATCCAAACAAAGTACATCTCGAGGCTGTTTTGGACCTGCAGACTCCCAGTCTTACTTCTGGGTTGAGCCTCAGTCTGAATATCTTTTACTTGAGTTCTAACACTTTTCATGAGTATCCATCATCATGTGTATGAGTTGTTCCTAGACACAAAAGACTTTCCATGAAGGACATCTTGTTAGTCACTGTGTATTGAGCACATGTACTTATCTCTGGCTTAGTCCTGAAACTCTGCTAATGAGAATAGAGAAAATTAAAAGGTAAAATTCCATAAGGACTGAAAGAGCAATAGAGAAAACCATACTAATAAAGATAACAGGAAAAGAGACAACACAGGTAGATTCAAGGTGTCAACAAATTTTTGGAAGGTGGAAAATGGAGAATTAAAATTATTTTAAATTAATTTTAAAGGCTGAGTCATAGCTTGGCTTTATCACAACCAATACTGAGCATGTAATAGATATTCCTCTGAAATGTGTGACCTTGTGTTGTGGATTTTTTTTTAAATTATACTTTAAGTTTTAGGGTACATGTGCACAAAGTGCAGGTTTGTTACATATGTATACATATGCCATGTTGGTGTGCTGCACCCATTAACTCGTCATTTAGCATTAGGTATATCTCCTAATGCTATCCCTCCCCCCTCCCCCCACCCCACAACAGGCCCCGGAGTGTGATGTTCCCCTCCCTGTGTCCAAGTGTTCTCATTGTTCAATTCCCACCTATCAGTGAAAACATGCAGTGTTTGGTTTTTTGTCCTTGCGATAGTTTGCTGAGAATGATGGTTTCCAGCTTCATCCATGTCCCTACAAAGGACATGAACTCATCCTTTTTATGGCTGCATAGTATTCCATGGTGTATATGTGTCACATTTTCTTAATCCAAAGTGTTGTGGTTTTTAAATATATGTAAATTTTATCATGTATACTTGAGTTTCACAACATGATGTTATAGGGTATATATATATAGATAGTAAAATGGTTGCTGTAGTGAAACAGATTAACATGTCTCTTATCTCACAGTTACTTATTTGTGATAAGATCATCTAAAATCTACTTATTCAACAATAATCCTTAATACAATATAATTTTATTAACTATTGTCCTCATGCTGTACATTAGATCTCTAGACTTGTTGATCCTACATATCTTCTTCTTTCTATCCTTTGACCTACATCTCCCCATTTTCTCCCACCCACCTACCCTCACCCACACCCCTGATAACCACTGTTTGATTCTCTGTCTCTGTATGTTTGATCTTTTCGTTTTTAAGAGTCCACATAAAAGTAAAACCTTGCAATCTTTTTCTTTCTGTGCCTGGCTTGTTTCACTTAGCATAATGTCCTCCAGATCTATCCATGTCGTGGCAAATGGCAAAATCTCCTTCTTATTTAAAGCTGAATATAAAATATTTTATTGTGTGTGTGTGTATGTGTATATATATATATACTACATATTCTTTATCTATTCATCCATCTACAAACACAGGTTATTTCCATACCTTGGCTATTGTGAATAATACTACAATAAACGTGGGGGTGCAGATATCTTTACAAGGTGGTGATTTCCTCTCCTTTGGATATATACTCAGAATAGGGGTTGCTGGGTCATATGGTAGCTCTGTTTTTAATTTCTTTAGGAACTTCCATACTGTTTTCCATAAGGGCTGCACCAAGCTACCTTCCCACCAACAGTGTACTAGGGCTCCTTTTTCTCCACACCCTGGCTGACATTTATTACTTCTTGACTTTTTTATGATAGCCATTCTAATGGATGTGAAGTGATATCTTATAGTGGTTTTAACTTGCATTTCCCCCTGATGGTTACTGATGTTGGGTACCTTTTTATATACCTGTTGGCCATTTTTATGTCTTTTTTGGTGAAAAGTTTTTTCAGGTCCTTTAGCCATTTTTTTAAATTCAGTTATTTGTTTTTCTTCTATTGAGTTGTAAGAGTTCTTTATAAATTTTGGCTATTCAGCCCTTATCAGATCTGTATTTTGCAAATAACTTTTCCCAATCCATAGATTACCTTTTCATTTTCTTGATTGTTTCCTTTGCTGTGCAGATGCTTTTTAGTTTGATGTAGTGTCATTTATTTATTTATTGCTTTTGTAGCCTGAGCTTTTGGTGGCATTAAGCCAAGGTCAATGTCAAAGAGCTTTCCCTTTATATTCTCTTCTAGGATTTTATGGTTTCAGGGCTTACATTTATGTTTTTTATCAATTTTGAGTTGATTTTTATGTATGGTGTAAAATAAGGGTCCAAATTCATTCTTTTACATGTGGAAATCCAGTTTTACTAGCACCATTTATTGAAGAGACTATCGTTTCCCCATTGTGTCCTTTTGGTGCTCTTGTCGAAAATTAGTTGACCATATATATTTGGATTTATTTCTGGGGTCTCTATTCTATTTCACTGGTCTTTTTTATGCCAGTACCATACTGTTTTGATTACTATAGTTTTGTAATATAATTTTAAATCAGGAGGTATGATGCCTCAAACTTTGCTCTTCTATCTCAATATTGCTTTGGCTAATCAGGGCTCTTGTGGTTCCATACACATTTTAAAATTGTTTTTTCTATTTCTGTGAAGAATTCCATTGGAATTTTGACAGGAATTGCATTGACTCTGTATTACTTTGGGTAGTGTGAACATTTTAGCAATATTCTTCCAATCCATGAATACAGGATATTTTTCCATTTATTTTATCTTATTCAATGAAATGTGTGAGTTTTAAATGCATAATCAACCATGTTCCTTTAATATTTAAGAAAATGATATATTTTCAAATATTTCAATGATTTCATTTGATATAATTTTCAAGATTTAAGAAACTAATATACACACTTGTCCTGTTTTTGATTTGAAAATATGTTTACCAAGAGACATGCCACAAACTTACAAAATTACCTCCACAATTTGCAAAGTATAAAAAAAAGACAATAAAATTTTCTACTAAGAAAGATTAGATTTAGGAAAATATATTTTAAGAATGTTTATAATAATAATAGCTATCATTTACTAACCAACTATTATGTGTGCCAGGCACTGTGCTAAATGCTTCATGATGCTACGTTTTCTTTAATGTAATTCTCATGTTCATCCCATGAAGTGTTATCCCTAGTATTTTGGGGTTTGTTTTTTTGTTTTGAGATGGAGTTTTGCTCTTGTTGCCCAGGCTGGAGTGCAATGGCATGATCTCGGCTCACTGCAACCTCTGCCTCCCAGGTTCAAGCGGTTCTTCTGCCTCAGCCTCCTGAGTTGCTGAGATTACAGACGCCTGCCACCACACCCGGCTAATTTTTTGTATTTTTAGTAGAGACGGGTTTTCACCATGTTGGCCAGGCTGGTCTTGAACTCCTGACCTCAGGTGATCCACCCGCCTCAGCCTACCGAAGTGCTGGGATTACAGGCGTGATCCACTGTGCCCGGTCCATCCCTAGTTTTTAAAAATATTTAATTGGCAAATAAAGATTGAATATATTCATGGTTCTTATAGATGTATACATTGTGTAATGATTACCACAACCAAATTAACACATCTATCACCACCCAAGCTGTACATTAGATCTCCAGAACATATTCAACTTCTAACTGAAAGTGTGTTTGCTGAGTCATATTTTTATTAAGCAAATTACTTTTTAAGCATTCACATATTTCTGGAGATTCTAATCTGAACCTACTGGCTGAATTCAGTAAAAGTCTTATTTGAACATTGCCCTACATTTTTGTATTTAAATACTAAGGGAACATTCTAATTAGCCACAAGCCACACTACCTCCCTGTGGTGTTACATAAAGATCCATTATACTCAATTACACTGCCTCAGTCCTATAAACATTTGAGTTGTTGAACTTTTATTTAAACCAAAACAAAAACAAACAACAAAAAAAACCACCATGAGGTTACAAGTGCAGTCAATACAATCTTTCATGATTCAAAGGGAACTGAATTTAAAGTATGACTGGATATGCAAAGAGAACTGAAATTTGAGCCCTGTATAAACCATTCAAAATGTATTCATTATAATCAATTAATATTTATAGTAGTGTACACTGGTCGGAAAGAATGGAGACCAAAAAAAATTCTTAACAGTATGGCCCCAGGTTTAAGAATATAGTAAACACTAATTGTGGTTGTAATTCTATCTGTATCTGCTTAAGTCATCTACACTTACAGCTTCAGCATTTTTGTCTGGGAAACAGAGATAAGGCTTACCTTTGTCATAGTGGAATTAGGAAAGCTTAGTTTGGAAGAGGGAAAGTTCTTTGAAAAGGATACATAAATAGTCTTACTACATATTATAGTCCCAATACTAATGTATTTAGGAAAATCCAATCAGGTATTAAGACATTGCTCTAGAAAATTCATTTTTCTTTTCTTTATCAAAGTATAATTTTCAAAGAAAAATTACTTTTATCCCTAAATAATCTTTCCAGATCCCTCTGGTTTGTAAGGTGTCAGGTCTCAGCAGTTTTCAACATGAGCTCCTCTAAGGTAGGCGCTTGCTGTCCTCAGGGGCAGATGCCATCAAGAATTCTTAAGGAAAAATGCCTTTTTCAAATACATGTTACTGCCAGTAGAGCCACAAACCAACCTAATAGAAAAATGTTAAAGGTAGGGAGGACTAAAAGAAGTTTTATACTTTGTAACCACCTGGCAACAATTTTCTTTTTTCCACTTTCATATTGCCATGGCAATAAACAGACTTATACAACAGTTAATAAATAGGTGAAAAATACCACCAGACAGCTATTTATTTCATAGATTTATAGGGCCTTGGCCCATTGGATATGTTGGCAGCATGGAGCACTTCTTGCCAATGATTCTGTTTCAATAAATTCCAAGCAGTTCCAAAATATTGGCATTTGGGGATGCTAAAGCCACTTCCTGTCACAGTCATTTTTCATGCCTTTTCCTACTGCCTCAGATGAAGAGACTCTAGAAAAAGCAACTGGAAAATATATTTATCTTGCTCACAGGCTTTCAATGTACATGTAGAATTATTGGTCAAGCAATGGCAGAGACATCAACCTTTCTCAACCCCATATTAAATTTTACTAAAGAAATTCACAAAAAATATAAAAACAGACATAGAAATCAAATTTTTTTGAACTTTTTTCAATTTAATTCAAATACAGAAATAGGCAGAGGCACTTAAAACCTTAGGGCTCAGCTTTTAACAGCTGTCCTAGAGCAAGTAGAAGTGGAACTCAAATGACTGAATAGCAAGCTCTGTATGACTCAGTGGTAGGAGAGAGTATTTTGTCTCTGGAGAACGAGTATTTCAACCATTCTTTCAACTTACTACCATCTAAAGGGAGAATTCCAAGAAAGGAGTTTAATGTTAGCATATCTAGGATCATAATGAAATATGCTGGGGCTTTTCAGTGTACTAGGGAAAAGGAATTTGGATAAGAACATCCGTTATAATTTCGAAGAGATACCTTGTTAATTGCTCCATTCTGGAGCAAGAAATATTTTTAACCAATGAATTTATGAAATTAGCAGCTGAATTTCTGGCTACAGATTTTGTTCTCTTTTTTACTTGCAATAATACAGAATATGAGTTTATGAGTCACATTTACTCATTAATAGAGCAATGAATTTTCTCTTTAACTACAGATCAAGGCACTTTTAAAAGCCTACAGCAACAGGAATCCTCCCACTTAGAGAAATCACTAAGCAGAAGGCTGCCAGCCTCAGCTCCAATGTTCCTGGGCGGAGAGCTTTCCTGACAGTATTAAGCAACTATGCAAAGTTCATGGCATCCCTATCTCATCTAGTAAGACCCTGAAATTCACAAACATACCCAATGCTGGGGACTGTGATACTCACATGTCAAAAATTTGGGGGCAACTAAAGAATGCAGACCTTCTACCCCATAATTTGGGCTGGGAAAGCCTCTTTTGTCACAGGGCCCTATACTTCCCTTTCAGCACCAGTTGATTATAAAAAATAGGCTGCCAGGGAATAGAATGTGGTCAATGGTGAAATGCAATAAAGCAGCCGGTGTGTTCCACTAGGCTTATGAGCTGTGAAGGTCCCTCAGAGCCGATTTTGGGAGTAGCAGCATGCCAGGAGCAAACATATATGTTTCACCTAGATTATTAAATGTTTTTATCAACCAAATAGCTGATGAAAGAATGTTCTTTTTCATAGAAGAAATTCTACTAATAATGCAGAAGAAATAAGGGCATTGGAAAATCACCCATTTTGTAAACCCTAATGAATAAAGGATATGAATCTCAATGGGAGCTAAGACCAGTAAGTGACAATTGATGGTGAACTTTACAAAAGACAGTCAGCTAATACCACCTGAACCCACTAATCAACCTTAAAATACCATTTAAGTGGAACAACCAGTCATTCTGTGCTTTACCACCTGTGAATTATTCTTGCTGGAGTAATTGAATTTAAATCTAGTTGAGCCTCTAGATCAAGATACTAAGTCTACAAGAAATACATAAAATTGAGGATGATGTTAAATAACCCTATAAGGATGTAATCAGCCAACTTCAAAATGAGAAAACTGTTACAGGAAAAATGTCCCAGTTTCTTTAAGAAATAAATGACATGCAAAAGTGGGGTGGGGGGTACTGTTAGAGATCAAAAAAGACTTCAGAACCTCAGAAAAATAGCAGCCAAATTCAACATCTGAACCTTATTTGGATACCAAATCAAACAAAACAATTGTAAAAAGGTATTTTGAGACAAATGTGGGAATCTTAAAAAAAATATATTTAATCAGATGGTATTGTGGAATCTTTGCTAATTTATAGTGGTGTTTTTAAATCCTTAGCTATTATAAACATACTACAATTGACCCTTGAACAACACAGAGGTTAGGGGTACCAAATTCCATGCAGTTGAAAATTTGCATATAACTTTTAACTCCCCAAAAACTTAACTACTAATAGCCTACTTTTGAACAGAGGCCTCATCAATAACATATACAGTCGATTAGCACATATTTTGTATGTTACATGTGTTATATACTGTATTCTTACCATAAAGTAAGCTAGAGAAAAGAAAATGTTATTAAGAAAACCATAAGAAAGAGAAAATATATTTACTATTCACTAAGTGGAAATGGATTATCATAAAGGTCTTCATCCTCATCATATTCACGTTGAGTAAGTTGGGGAGGAGGAGGAAGATGAGAGGTTGGTCTTACTGCTTCAGGGGTGGCAGAAGTGGAAGAGACAGAAAGGAAGGCAGGACAGGCAGGCACACGCAGTGTAATTTTTAACGAAAAAGTATATATATAAGTGGATCCATGCAGTTCAAATCCATATTGTTCAAATGTCAATCGTAAAGCATTTATGAGTAAAATATTTCATGGATTTGTTTTAAATATGCCACCAGACTATGAAGATATGGGGGGAGGGGATAGATGAAATAAGATTGGCAAAATTTAATAACTTTTGAAGTTGGTTAATGGGTACATGAGGGTATATTTTACTATGCTACTATTGTGTGTATTTGAAATATTGCATAATAAAAAGACTAAAAAGAGAGAGAAAGAACTGCTATGGAAGGTTGTTCCCTTAGTTTAGTCCCCCACTTAAAGAACCCATGGACAGACAAAAAGTTTGCAGGGGGGAAAGCGGACAGAATGAGAGGAGAAAGAAGCAAACAAGAGGAAGAAAATCATGAGAGCTGAGAAAGTAGCTGCAGGTCATTTTGTTCTCCCTAAAGGAGAAGACATGAATTCACCATTACAACTGATGCTGCCTTTTTTAAGGAAAAAAAAACTTACATCAGCCCTTGGTCTAATCACATGCTCTCACTCATCATCCTTAGTGAGAAATTATGAAATTATGTGAATGTAGATATTGAGTTTGAAAAGATAAACTATATATGTTGTTGATGCAGATTATTGTAAAAATATATTTTCCAGAGTGATGTCTCTAAGCCTTTATTGTTTATTTTCACAGTAATTTTTTTCTATACATGGATTTAAATAATACTGTTGTTTTTCCAATGGAAATGGGTAAGTTCAGGGACAGGGAAAGGGGAGGTATATTGAGAGCTGATTATGTAGATAAGGATATGAGACCCCTAGGATGGCAGAAATATAAGTAGGCATGATCTTCAAGTGCTTTAAAAGCAAATTAAACTGGGCTCAGCACAGCTCAACCTGGACAGGAATACTGCCACCTTTCTCTGATATGCCATGTTACTCAAACTAAAAACCCCTCAGTGTGCAGATGCTGGATAATTGTAACTTGGCATAATTACCCTGGTGGGAGCCATTGGTCAAGATCACTTGCCTGTGGGATTTCTTTGAAAGGAGTAGATGTTTTCACTGTCAGCTGTTCCAAGAAAGAGTAGATCCTGGGGCCAAAAATGGAATCTAAAAAGACAGAGTCTAGAAAAGCAGATAAATTCCTTTCTCTCTCTGAAAATTGAATCTGGCCTCCAAGTATCACCAGCATTGAGGACATCATCTGTGACTCATCCTCATGGATGCAGGCCTATGGAGCTAAGAGGGTCCTCATCTAGAAATGCTTTTAGGTTACATGTTCTATATGCCCCTTCCAATGTCCTTGAATCTTCATTAGAGTTTTGTCAGTGTTGTGACCAGCTTTTGGCCATTTCACTGGGACACTCAAGAAAGGGCTTGTGCCCATACTCATGCAAAGAAGCAAAAAAAAAAAAAAAAAATTACCAGTCAGGAATTATACAGTGACCTAAAGCATAGTGAGCAGAGACTCAGGTACACATCAAAGCAGAAATCCAGGACTGGGCCTGGTGGCTAATGCCTGTAATCCCAGCACTTGGGGAGGCCAAGACAAGCAGACCACTTGAGGTCAGGGGTTGAAGACCAGCCTGGCCAACATGATGAAACCCTGTCTCTACTAAAAATACAAAACTGGGTGGGCGGGGATCACCTGAGGTTAGGAGTTCGAGACCAGCCTGGCCAACATGGCGAAATCCCAACTCTACTAAAAATACAAAAATTAGCCAAGCGTGGTGGTAAGCACCTGTAATGCCACCTACTCGGGAGGCTGAGGCATGAGAATCACTTGAACCCAGGAGGCGGACGTTGCAGTGAGCCAAGATAGCCCCATTGCACTCTAGCCCGGGGGATAGAGCAAGACTCTACCTCCAAAAAAAAAAAAAAAAAATTAGCAGGGCAAGGTGGTTCATGCTAGTAATCCCAGCTAATCTGGAGGCTGAGGCACAACAATCACTTGAACTGGGAAGCAGAGGTTGCAATGAGCCAAGATCGCACCTCCAGCCTGGGCGACAGAGCGAGAGTCTGTCTCAAAAAGAAAAGAAAAGAAAAAAAAAACTTCAAAGCTAAATGGCTCAACACCAGCACAGAGTTTTGTTTTTTTTTGTCGTTTTTGTTTGTTTGTTTGTTTATTATACTTTAAGTTCTAGGGTACATGTGCACAACATGCAGGTTTGGTGCATATGTATACATGTGCCATGTTGGTGTGCTGCACCCATTAACTCGTCATTTACATTAGGTATATCTCCTAATGCTATCCCTCCCCCCTCCCCTGACCCCACAGCAGGCCCTGGGGTGTGATGTTCCCCTTCTTGTGTCCAAGTATTCTCATTGTTCAATTCCCACCTATGAGTGAGAACATGCAGTGTTTGGTTTTTTGTCCTTGCAATAGTTTGCTGAGAATGATGGTTTCCAGCTTCATCCATGTCCCTACAAAGGACATGAACTCATCATTTTTTATGGCTGCATAGTATTCCATGGTGTATTTGTGCCACATTTTCTTAATATAGTCTATCATTGATGGACATTTGGGTTGGTTCCAAGTCTTTGCTATTGTGAGTAGTGCTGAAATAAACATATATGTGCATGTGTCTTTATAGCAGCATGATTTATATTCCTTTGGGTATATAGCCAGTAATGGGATAGCTGTGTCAAATGGTATTTCTAGTTCTAGATCCCTGAGGAATCACCACACCGTCTTCCACAATGGTTGAACTAGTTTACAGTCCCACCAACAGTGTAAAAATGTTCCTATTTCTCCACATCCTCTCCAGCACCTGTGGTTTCCTGACTTTTTAATAATCGCCATTCTAACTGGTGTGAGATGGTATCTCACTGTGGTTTTGATTTGCAATTCTCTGATGGCCAGTGATGATGAGCATTTTTTCATGTGTCTATTGGCTGCATAAATGTCTTCTTTTGAGAAGCATCTGTTCATATCCTTCGCCCACTTTTTGATGGGGTTGTGTGTTTTTTTCTTGTAAATTTGTTTGAGTTCTTTGTAGATTCTGGATATTAGCCCTTTGTCAGATGAGTAGATTGCAAAAATTGTCTCCCATTCTGTAGGTTGCCTGTTCACTCTGATGGTAGTTTCTTTTGCTGTGCAGAAGCTCTTTAGTTTAATTAGATCCCATTTGTCAATTTTGGCTTTTGTTGCCATTGCTTTTGGTGTTTTAGGCATGAAGTCCTTGCCCATGCCTATGTCCTGAATGGTATTGTCTAGGTTTTCTTCTAGGGTTTTTAGGGTTTTAGGTCTAACATGTAAGTCTTTAATCCATCTTGAATTAATTTTTGTGTAAGGTGTAAGGAAGGGATCCAGTTTCAGCTTTCTGCATATGGCTAGCCAGTTTTCCCAGCACCATTTGTTAAATAGGGAATCCTTTCACCATTTCTTGTTTTTGTCAGGTTTGTCAAAGATCAGATGGTTGTAGATGTGTGGTATTATTTCTGAGGGCTCTGTTCTGTTCCATTGGTCTATATCTCTGTTTCGGTACCAGTACCATGATGCTTTGGTTACTGTAGCCTTGTAGTATAGTGTGAAGTCAGGTAGCGTTATGCTTCCAGCTTTGTTCTTTTGGCTTAGGATTGACTTGGCAATGTGGGCTTTTTTTTGGTTCCATATCAACTTTAAAGTAGTTTTTTCCAATTCTGTGAAGAAAGTCACTGGTAGCTTGATGGGGATGGCATTCAATCTATAAATTACCTTGGGCAGTATGGCCATTTTCATGATATTGATTCTTCCTGTCCATGAGCATGGAATGTTCTTCCATTTGTTTGTATGCTTTTTTATTTTGTTGAGCAGTAGTTTGTAGTACTCCTTGAAGAGGTCCTTCACATCCCTTGTAAGTTGGATTCCTAGCTATTTTATTCTCTTTGAAGCAATTGTGAATGGGAGTTCACTCATGATTTGGCTCTCTGTTTGTCTGTTATTGGTGTATAAGAATGCTTGTGATTTTTGCACATTGATTTTGTATCCTGAGACTTTGCTGAAGTTGCTTATCAGCTTAAGGACATTTTGGGCTGAGACGATGGGGTTTTCTAAATATACAATCATGTCATCTGCAAACAGGGACAACTTGACTTCCTCTTTTCCTAATTGAATACCCTTTATTTCTTTCTCCTGCCTGATTGCCCTGGCCAGAACTTCCAACACTATGTCGAATAGGAGTGGTGAGAGAGGGCATCCCTGTCTTGTGCCAGTTTTCAAAGGGAATGATTCCAGTTTTTATCCATTCAGTATGGTATTGGTTGTGTGTTTGTCATAAACAACTCTTATTATTTTGTGATACATCCCATCAATACCTAATTTACTGAGAGTTTTTAACATGAAGGTTGTTGAATTTTGTCAAAGGCCTTTTCTGCATCTATTGAGATAATCATGTGGTTTTTGTCTTTGGTTCTGTTTATATGATGGATTATGTTTATTGATTTGCATATGTTGAACCAGCCTTGCATCCCAGGGATGAAGCCCACTTGATCATGGTGGATAAGCTTTTTGATGTGCTGCTGGATTTGGTTTGCCAGTATTTTATTGAGGATTTTTGCATCGATGTTCATCAGGGATATTGGTCTAAAATTCTCTTTTTTTTGTTGTGTCTCTGCCAGGCTTTGGTATCAGGACGATGCTGGTCTCACAAAATGAGTTAGGGAGGATTCCCTGTTTTTCTATTGGTTGGAATTGTTTCAGAAGGAATGGTACCAGCTCCTCCTTGTACCTCTGGTAGAATTCGGCTGTGAATCCGTCTGGTCCTGGACTTTTTTTGGTTGGTAAGCTATTAGTTATTGCTTCAATTTCAGAGCCTGTTATTGGTCTATTCAGAGATTCAACTTCTTCCTGGTTTAGTCTTGGGAGGGTGTATGTGTCCAGGAATTTATCCATTTCTTCTAGATTTTCTAGTTTATTTGCATAGAGGTGTTTATAGTATTTTCTGATGGTAATTTGTATTTCTTTGGGATCGGTGGTGATATCCCCTTTATCATTTTTTATTGTGTCTATTTGATTCTTCTCTCTTTTCTTCTTTATTAGTTTTGCTAGCGGTCTACCAATTTAGTTGGTCTTTTCAAAACCCAGCTCCCGGATTCATTGATTTTTTGAGGGTTTTTTGTGTCTCTATCTCCTTCAGTTCTGCTCTGATCTTAGTTATTTCTTGCCTTCTGCTAGCTTTTGAATGTGTTTGCTCTTGCTTCTCTAGTTCTTTTAATTGTGATGTTAGGGTGTCAGTTTTAGAACTTTTCCTGCTTTCTCTTGTGGGCATTTAGTGCTGTAAATTTCCCCTCTACACACTGCTTTAAATGTGTCCCAGAGATTCTGGCATGTTGTGCCTTTGTTCTCATTGGTTTCAAAGAACATCTTAATTTCTACCTTCATTTCGTTATGTACCCAGTAGTCATTCAGGAGCAGGTTGTTCAGTTTCCATGTAGTTGAGCGGTTTTGAGTGAGTTTCTTAATCCTGAGTTCTAGTTTGACTGCACTGTGGTCTGAGGGACAGTTTGTTGTAATTTCTGTTCTTTTACATTTGCTGGGGAGTGCTTTACTTCCAACTATGTGGTCAATTTTGAAATAGGTGCAGTGTTGTGCTGAGAAAAATGTATATACTGTTGATTTGGGGTGGAGAGTTCTGTAGATGTCTATTAGGTCTGCTTGGTGCAGAGCTGAATTCTATTACTGGATATCCTTGTTAACTTTCTGTCTCGTTGCTCTGTCTACTGTTGACAGTGAGGTGTTAAAGTCTCCCATTATTATTGTGTGGGAGTCTAAGTCTCTTTGTAGGTCTCTAAGGACTCAGCACAGAGTTTTTAAAACAGGTAAGCATCTGGATTTCCAAAGAACCTGGTGAAGACCGTACTTATTTCAGGAAGACAGAGTGGAAGCAGGAAGACTTTGTGATGTAGAGTATTAATGCAAATGTGTTCTCACACACTAATGTGGCACATACTAGTTAAAATTATAAAAGGAAAATTTAATTTTAGTTTGGATTTTAAAAAATTAAAAAGCAGTGCATTCAATTGCAAAGAAAAACATGCTGCAGCTGAAGCTCTGACCAAAAAAAGCTCAGGAAGAAAATGAACCCGAAATTAACTTTGTTAGATTTATGTATGCACACACATGTGTGTGTTTGTGTGTGTGTCTGTGTGAGTAACTGATACAGAATTGCATCAGCCTTCACTAGATCCACATCTCTTAATGTCAAAGAAATGGAAAAGGATTTTGTTAGATATTAAATTTTGTATCAGACCCCTGATTTTGCTGGTGGCCAAATGCTCTGAATATGATGGTTTGATTCGATTTGGAGAACTATAGTGTTCATCAGTTGATGCCTTCAGGCTTCAGGACACATTAATTTATGATAAATACCAGAATTGACCTCTTCCAAAAAGATAATGGTGTGAATACAAGGGACCAACCTCCCCAGCAGATGCCAGTTAGAATGACGCCAGCCCAGACTTGACTCTACCTTCACTACTGAAACTATGTGACAGGATCTTCTTGGGCATCTGACTCTAGTTGGCCTCTGCATAACATTCCTTACTCCCATCTCTAAGACGTCAGCTGAGAGTCACTTACCTGATAGAGTCTAAGATTGAATGTGAGTAGGTGGCACTGGACCTCCTCCCAGCACTTGATTCTCCTCCCACCTCCTCACCCATGTGTCCTAACCAGGCGGGAAATCCAGTTCTTGTGTCTAGTTCATTCCAATATCCCTCATTCTTATCAAAACATGCTCATCCAAGGATAAATTATCCTTTATCCTATCACCTTCTGATTAATCCCCACTATACTTTTCCCTCCCCACAAATATTTCTATCAAATGACTATAGCCTTTTCTGGTTGTCTCTAAACAGGTCAAATCTTGGCAAAATCTCATCATATAAATTCATAGGAATCATCAGTTGAATAATTTACCAAAAATTCATTGTCCCCATCTGTGTGCCCAATACCACATTAAGTCCTATACTACTCTTTCCAAAATATACCAACCTTAGGATTTTTTTAACTTACTAATTTTCCTTTTTTATTTCACCATCACATATATTGCTTATTATTTCCCTGGAACTATTCTAAGTGCTGCTACAGAGATTAACTCATTTAATCCAATCAGCTAATATAGATTGACCACTTATTATGTACTTAGGTATTAGACATTATTAAAGGAACAGAAAAATATAATTCCCTGAACTTCAAGACCTTGAAATGTAGTTGAGTAGATAAGACTTAAATACAAATAACCGTAATACATCAATCAGTGCCATATAAGTGGTTCAAACAGCAAGTTTTATAGGAGCTTAGAAGTGGCAGAAAGGTATAACTGAAGCATAGTAAATGTGCAGTCAATGTTTGATTGAATTAAATTGAATCAGGGCACTTAATATTGAAAATAAAGACAGGTGGAGTGACATGAAATTTAATAATCTGGAAATGTGCAGGAAAATTGGATGTTTCCCTGCATTGTATGCATGTTTTCTTTTAAATAGATTTTTACTTAAAATAATATAAAAACATATTAAAGGGACACATTTTCTTAAACAATATCACCACTACACATGGGAATTCCTGCAGGTGGTGTATCTGATAATATGCTAAAAATATTATCATAATTATAATTCATTCTGCTTTTTGATAGAACATCACTGTAATTGGTATATATTTTGTAGAGTTTGGCTTAATCTGAGCCTGCTGAAAAAATGTCATTTGATTAACGAAGTTTTTTCTCTAATGTTGAATTGGTTTTTCTGTTTATTTCAAATCCCCCAAAAAAGCAGACCATGACATTATTCTAAAAGTTCACAATGAAAATTCAAAAAGTCACATTTTGGGGGAAACACTACACAGGCAGTACCATAGACATGAAGGAGTGGCGACAAGACTGTATCTCACTTCTTTACTGTGACATCGATTCATAAATTGAGATTAGCATGCCTAAAATATCACTAACAGTTTAGCATGCTAGTATGATTTTCATGGCAAAATCTCACAACTGAAGTATTTGTTAAAATGGCAAGCCCATAAATTGAATCAAAATGTTCATACTAAAATGGAAGACTCATAAATTAAGATTCCAGGTAGTAATACCAGTATCCCAACCTGAATGAGGTCTTAGAATTCCCATTTGTAGTCAGGAAGAAAAGAAAAGATCTTGCAGAACAAGAAAGCAAGGGCACCTTCTGAAAAAGAAACTAGTAAAGACAGGATGTAATTAACATATTAAGTGACCTGGATAAAGAACAGGCTACCATAAAGAGTAGGCAGCATGGAGCAGGGAAAAGGACAGTCAGGAAGCCAGGGCTCATACCAGTATCTCCCTCATTGATTAGATGAAGGGCCCTGGCCACTTGAGAAGAGATGAATAGGTCTGGATGATAGTGTCCATTAAGATCGTTACTACACTTCCTGCTGTGGACTGCCCCCTAAGGAGCCTCTGACTATTACTGAGTTTCCCCTGAAGTTGCTGCTTTGATCAAGCTATGAAGGTTGCTATCTTGGTGAAAGTGTTCTCCTTGAAATAAGTAAGTTGGCATACATTTCCTACATTTTCGTCTTGAAATCTGGTTATCCTGTATTCAATCTTTCTGATATGTAATCACTATGTAGTTGACATTATTGATCTGTGCACCCCCATACTGTGAGACCACTTTAATAACAATAATCACAACTAATATTTATAGCATTTTATCCCATGTGCCAGACACTACATTAACAATGTCTGCCCATCACTGGCAGTGAGAAAACATTTGTTAATGTATTTATTTAAGGTCCTAAGCACTGTACCTGGCACATGGTAGATGCTTAATAAATATTTGTTGAATAGGTAAGGAAGTAAACCTTAAAAACCCAAGGAATTCCTAACCCTGCCCTTCCTACGGAGAAAAGCATTCACAGCAAGAGAAAGAATCTGCCTTCCCTGGTGCCTTAATTAACAGCAGGTGGAATGACAAACACAGGCCCACTTTTCATGACAGTATCTCTACCTTGGCTTTCTTAACTTCAACCACTTCCTGTATATCAGGTCTAAAATATGAATTAGAAGAGTCTAATTCTTACCCTCTTTATGTCTCAGACTAGAATATTCAACATCCCATGCCTGATAAATATTAATATATGTTGAATCAGAAGGGAGGTTTTTTTAAGCAACACAGAAGATTCAACACATGAAAGACACTTGCAAAAGCCAAATATGAGTGTGAGTGCAGAGTCAAACTCCAGTTTCCAAGAAATATAAACACTAATCTGAGTTTGAAACCTTCTTTTGGCCAGAAAATTCCCACTGAAAAAGATGATAAAGGATTTCTCTACATTTAACTTTCCTTTTTTTATTTTTTCAAGGCTGTTTCTCAGTGTGAAAGATTTAGCTTTCTTTAGGTATCATTCTGAGATGAAGGAGAAAGGGAAAGGGATAGTTATAGAAAACCTGTTCCTGAAAAAGTCCAATATTCACACATTTATTCATTTAATAGGTATTTATTGCAAATCTATTACATGCATGACACTTTGCAGGGCACTGGCTATGTAGTGATAACTAGGACCTTGCAGTCTGGTGGGAGAGACACATAGCAATCAGGACTGTGTGGTCCCTGTTTCTTACAGGAAGCTGCAAGACACAGGAAGGTCACCTACCTCAGCAGGATACTGTACCTATACTAGATTACATGCAGAGCGAAAGGGTCGCTCTGCAAATAAACATTTCAGCATGCTCTTTAGAGCAAGGGTGGCACTTGAAATATCTTCTCAGGCAATGCCAAAGCCAATGCTGAAAATCTCCAGGTGGGAACCAAAGGCAGTTGTGAAAACTCTCCTCTGTTTGTGCTAGTGTACTTAATGATATTATGATGTTTTTGACAATCTAGGAAAGATGTTCCCCCATGAAAACTTAGCCAACCAAGACCTAAAATAACCTGATGGTTTCAGGAAACAAGATCATCTATACATTCCCTCAGCTCAATCCAAAAAAATTTATTGAGATAAAGCCTCATCAACTTATTTTCTTTCTAAATCCCTATATGAAACTACCTTTAATATGTTTTTAAATGCAGATAGTCTTCGTGCCAGAGGATGGCATGAATAAAAATACTGTAAATGCAGTTTTGTACACTTGTTTCTTCATGGGCATCATCAAGTATTTTACATAATAATGTCATAATACAGATTTCTTCCCGCTGAAGAAGAAAGAGCTGAAATATAGGGTAAATAACAAATATTTCATTATTTGTGTTTTCCCATCAAATGCTACAGGTTCCAATAGTTGAACCTGGAATAATGTACTAGTTTTCCTTTTTCTATTCAATTAGTCTAAGATTGCACATAGTAGATTCCCAATGTAGTTGATAAAATAATATCCTTTTAAAGGAACCAGTGATTTTAATGTTTCTAGTTAAATAATAAATAAGATTGCATTAAGTAGGCTACTAATGGGGTTGATAAAATGTGATCCCTTTAAAGAAACTGGTGACTTTAATGCTTCTGGCTAAATAGTAAATATTACTAGTGCTGTAGACTGAATATTTGTGTTCCGCTAAAGTTCATATGTTGAAATCCTATCCCCCAAGGTATTAGGAGGTGGAGCCCTTGGGAGGTGATTAGGTCATGGGAACAGAGACCCCATGAATGCAATTAGCGCTCTTATAGAAGAGGCCGAAGAGAGATCCTTTGTCTCATCTGCCACATAAGGACACATCAAAAAGATGCAGTCTATGAACCAAGAAACGGGTTCTCAACACACACAGAATCTACCTATGCCTACGGCCTCCAAAACTGTAAGAAATAAATTTATCTTATTTATAAGCCACCCAGTTTATGGTATTTTGTTATAGCAGCCCAAACAGACTAACAGCTAGCACTAATGTTTTAAGTATGACTGTGTGGCAAGGGAAAGAGAACATGATCAAGGACTGAGCTAGTACAGAATGGGTGGCTTTCCATCTTCAATTAAAAAGCATTTGTTAATATTACAAAAAAGAAATAGAAAGTTAACCTGGAAATAAATAAATATATAAATGTCAGTGTTGTGCCAAGTGTACCAAGAGTGCTAGGGAAACTGGAAAGCATTTAGCTCAAGAAAAAAATTGTGTTTATATAGAAAGTCATTTCTGTAAGAGTCAAATATTCCCATTTAAAAGTTATCATGTCTTACTGTATAGTTGCATGGAATTTTCTTATTGCCAAAGTAAATGCCAAAAACGTAGGGAAAAAAGATTAAGGAGAAAATAAATTACCAAGATTTCTACTTATGGCAATATGGTGGATAAGAGTCAATGAATAGCCCTCAAGCTTGAAATAATAACATATTGATAAAATTATGAAATGAACAAATTCAATGCAATGCAAAACTGAACAGGAAATAAAGTATACATAGAGCCCAAAAATAAAGTGAAAGCAGGAACCCCAAGAGTAATCAAACACCAAAGTTAGCTTTTATCCTAAGGTTTCTGTTGAGCCCTAAGGACTTTAAGCTTACACTTTGAGGCCGTGAAGATCCCAACACAAAGAGATAAAGCCTGTGATTTCCTCAAAATGAGTAAACCAGCTTTTTTTAAACTACATATAAAAGCTAGGAGTCCTAGGTCCAAGATGAGAAATGAATCTCACTGAACAAAAACAAACAGCAAAATCTTGCCTGTCTTTACCTTGACACTAGGTGGAGAGAAAAATATCCCTGAGAATTAGTAACAAGCTAGTTCTCACGTAAGTTTGCAGCCCCAATTCATACCACCTGTGTGAGTCCTCAATCAAAATACAATTCGAAGTTGCTCAAGGTTGGTAGTTCCACTAAGCAACTGGCAAAAGCCAATGCTAATCCTATCTAGAGGAACTCAACTTCAATCCAGAACTCAGAGTTCCAAAGAAAATGAAGAGTCCACAATAAAAATATTACAAAACACACAAAGGAAAAAAAGGCACTATGAGCAAGAAACAAAAAGTAGATCCCAGAAAAGGTCTGCAAAGACCACCGGTAATATAATTATCAGGCACTGAAAATAAAATAATTATATCAACAAAGTTTTAAAGATAACAGGGGAACTTGAAAATGTGAGAAAGAAACAAGAGACCATAAGAAATTATTAAGCATACTGAGTTGAAACAAAATGGAGTTATAGAAGTGAATGTTAAAATAAATGAACTCGAAACCTCAATGGAGGAATAAAATAGCAAACAAGATGCAGCTATAAAGAGAACTAGTGGTCTACAAAATAGATATTAAAAATTATCCAACATGAACTCAAGAAAAAAAAAGATGAAAATAATGAATAAAAGGTTAAGAGCCAGGGAGGATTGAGCTAGAGGTCTAATATAGGTTCAATCAGAGTTCCATTTAAGACAGGCAGTATTTGAAAGAACAGTGACTGATCTGAGAAGACTCTATTTCTCAGATCCAAGAACCCCAATATATCCAGTCTCCCAGACACTTCCAGAATAATACACTCCCAGACACATTGCTGTGAAGCTGCAGAACATAAAAAGGAAAAAATAAATTAAATACAGACAGAAAGAAAGGGCAAAGCACCAACAAAGAAATGACAATTGATTGACAGCTGACTCTTCAATAACAATGGGATGCAGAAAGTAGTGAAATATAGATAATTATTACAATGTACTAAGAGAAAATAACTGCCAATCTCAAATACAATAAGACAGTGGAACAATCTTTTCAAAACAAAGGAGTCCTACGTATAACAAAACTTGTGCTTTACCTTTAAAAATGAAAATTATAATAAAAAACCTCTAAAGGATATACTTCATCAGAAGAAAGATGACTACAGGTAGTCTGAAGAAATGGTAAGAAAATATATTGGTAAATATGCAGGTAAACCCAAATGAATATTTACTACATAAAACCTAATTAAGAATATATTAAATTATAAAAATGTAATTTCAAATTAGTGGGGGAAATGATGAATCATTCAATCAATAGTATCAGGAAAACTGACCAGCCATTTTTTAAAATAGATGTCTGTTACTCAAGTGGATAAAGAAACTGTGGTATACATATTTATGATGGAATACTATCCAGCTATATAAAGGAATGAGTTAATGGCATTCACACAACCTGGATGGAATTGGAGACTATTATTCTAAGTGAAGTAACTCAGGAATGGAAAACCAAATATCATACACTCTCACTTATAAGTGGAAGCTAAACTATAAGGATGCAAAGGCATAAAAATGATACAACGGACTTTAGGAACTTGGGGGAAAGGATGGAAGGGGGATGAGGGATAAAAGACTACAAACTGGGTTCAGTGTAACTGCTCAGGTGTTGGGTGCACCAAAATCTCACCAATCACCCCTAAAGAACTTACTCATGTAACCAAATACCACCTGTTCCCCAAAAACCTATGGAAATTAAAAAAAATTATTAAATAAATAAATAAATAAAATGGATGTCTGTTATGGCCTCAATCTTGCTCCTTGAAATATTCACAGGTCAAAGCCTTAACTCCCACTATGACTATATTTGGAGATAGGGCGTATGAAAAAGTCATAAAGGTTAAATGAAGTCATAAGGGTAGGCTCGAATCCAATAGAACTGGTGTCTTTATAAAAGGAAGAAATATTAGAAACCTCTGCCTCTCTGAGCGAGCACAAAAGAAAGGCCATGTGAGGACACAGCAAGAAAGCAGCCCTCTATTAACCAAGAAAAGAGGCCTCACCAGAAGCCTGGCCCAACCTCACCTTGATCTTGGACTTCCAGTCTCCAGATATGAGAAAATAAATGACTGCTGTTTAAGCCGCCCAGCCTGTGGCACTTTGTTATGTTGGCTAGCTGATAAATATAATATCTTAAGTGTTCCATTTTTTACATTTCAGATGTGTTAAAACTTAAATATAAAATTAAAATGCTAAAAACTAATAAATATATGCAAAATTTTGAATATTTTGAATAGCAGAGATATTTCTAAGCATGATAACAAAGAAATCAAAAAGAAAAACTGATTTAATATCAACATTTAAATATTGGCAAAAATATAAGAAAGGCAAAATTTAAATGGCACACTTGGAAAAGATTTGTAATATAAATGAGCAAGAGATAATTTAAGAATTTTTACAAACAATATGAAAAGGGAAATGACTCCAGTTTACAAACGGGCAAAGCATATGATCAGACAACTCACAAAAGAGTGAAAACAATGGGTTAATAAACATGAAAAGCAAGCAACATTCTTATTAGTGAAGGTTGTACACATTATGACTACAAGCAATCAATTTTGCTTGTAAACAATTAAGATTAAATTGTATTTGCCCATAGTTTGAGAGGGTGTGCAGGCACATTTGGCAATATGTATTGTGTTCTTTGGCATCATCCTTTCATCTTAACAAGAATTTAACCTAAGGAAAAAAATGGACAAGAATGCAATAATATATATGAATGCATGTGTGGGTGGATGCACATGTGCACGTGCATGCGTGTCTATTTGGACGCTCATTATAGGGCTGTCTCAAATAAGTAAAGAAAGTAAATAATTGAGACTTGTTTTTCAGTGCAAAACTAGTTAAATAGAACCTACAATGGGATATTATCCAATCTTTATAAATTGTGATGACAGAGAAAGATACCAGCATTATATTAGTAAATGGCTATTATCTTGTAAGTAATGCAGGCTAAAAACTGTAGATATAGTGTGATGTCACCATGTTTGAAAAAATATATACATACATAATATATAAATTCATACTTAAGTAACTACTCAGAATATTTTTCTGTCATTGCAGCTGCACAGTCAAAAAATACTCCCATGCAAAACTTAAAACTCCAAACCACATTCGTTGATGATGTAATTCTCCATAGTTTTATACATTTCAGAGCTCATTATGTTTGATGGCAATTAGGCTAAAAAATGCTGTAATTCTTCATATCACCATCATGTTCAAATTACACATATACTTGATGAATGCACATGTCACTAGTCCCAAAGGAAAATACTGATTTAATACTAATCAAAATTACTAACATGTACATTCATCAAGTTTCAATGAAAAATGCTTTCTTAGCTTTATTTGTTCAGTTTTTCAGAAAAATAATTTTGATTTTAAACTTCTTTAACTTCTGCATTTAAATGATATTTAAGTTTTGATGGTTTCATTGCTTCTTTAACCAGTACACTTCGGCAAATCCAGCATCCAAAAAGTAAAATTCACTATGTCTGCCATCCAACCAAAGATTACCATGCCTGAAAAAAGAAACCAGAAAAGTAGAATGCATAGTGAGGAGAAGAATGTATTAGAACTGACACAAATGTTATTAGTAGTAGACAAGAACATTGAAAGACTCATTGTTGTAATTTATACATTCAAATTAATTTGCAGAGACACAGAAAATATTTGAAAGATCCAAATTGCATTTCTAGATATTATAACTACAGTGCATAAAATGAAAATACACTGATGGGATTAATGACAGAAAAGAAATTGAAGAATAAACGATTAGCAAACTTAAAGATGCAACAATAGAAATAATAAAAAAAGAGAAAAGAGAATTTTTAAAATAATATAGTATCAGGGAGCTGTGAAACAAATACAAGTGTAATAATATGTGTCTTCAGAGGCCCTAAAAAGGAGAGGGATTAAAAAGATGAAAAATTTTTGAAAATTTTATAGCTGAAATTTTCCTAAGTTTGGTGAAAATTGTCAACCCACAGATTCAAGAAACTCAATTAACTCCAAGGAAAATAAATGTGAACAAAATTACACCAAGACATGTCATCATCAAATTGAGAAAGATAAATCTTAACAGTGCCTATTCAAAAGATCAGTGAATCCAGGAGTTGGTTTTTTGAAAAAAATGATAAGATATACCACTAGCTAGACTAATAAAGAAGAAAAGAGAGAAGATCCAAATAAAAACAATTAGAAATGGTGAAGGGTATGTTACCACTGACCCCACAGAAATAAAGATACCCAAATAACCATCAGAAACTACTACGAATGCCTCTATGCACACAAACCAGAAAACCTAGAAGAAATCAATAAACTCCTGGGCATAAACACCTTCCTAAGACTGGAAGAAACTGATTCCCTGAACAGACCAATAACAAGCTCCAAAATTGAATCAGTAATAAATAGCCTATCAACCAGAAAAAGCCCAGGAACTGACGAATTCACAGCTGAATTCTACCAGATGTACAAAGAAGAGCTGCTACCATTCCTACAGAAACTATTCCAAAAAACTGAGGATGAGGGACTCCTCCCCAACTTATTCCATGAGGCCAGCTTCATCTTGATACCCAAACCTGGCAGAGACACAACAAGAATAGGAAACTTCAGGCAATATCCTTGATAAACATCGATCCAAAAATCCTCAGCAAAATACTGACAAACTGAACCCAGCAGCATATCAATAGCTAATACACCACGATCAAGTAGGCTTCATCCTAGGATGCAATGTTGGTTCAACATATGCAAATCAATATATATGATTCATCACATAAACAGAACCAAAAACAAAAACCACATGATTACCTCAATAAACCCAGAAAAGGCTTTCAATAAAATTCCACACCCCTTCATGTTAAAAACTTTCAATGAACTAAGTATTGAAGGAACATACCTCAATAAGAGCCATCTATTACAAACCCACAGCCAAAATTATACCGAAAGGGCAAAAGCTGGAAGTATTCCCCTTGAAAACTGGCACAAGACAAGGATGCACTCTCTCGCTATTCCTATTCAACATAGTATTGAAAGTCCTAGCCAGAGCAATCAAGCAAGAGAAAGAAATGGCATCCAAATAGGAATAGAGAAAGTCAAACGATCTATTTTCAGACAACATGATTCTATATCTAGAAAACCCCATAGTCTTGGCCTACAAGCTTCTTAAGCTGATAAGCAACTTCAGCAAAGTTTCAGGATTACAAAAATCAATGTATTAATACAAAAATCACTGGCATTCGTATACACCAACAACCGCCAAGCAGAGAGCCAAATCAGAAAGGCAATCCCATTCACATTTGCTACAAAATGAATGAAATACCTAAGAATACAGCTAATCAGGAAGGTGAAAGAACTCTACAATGAGAATTATAAAACACTGCTGAGTTCATTGTAGATTCTGGATATTAGCCCTTTGTCAGATGAGTAGGTTGTGAAAATTTTCTCCCATTTTGTGGGTTGCCTGTTCACTCTGATGGTAGTTTCTTTTGCTGTGCAGAAGCTCTTTAGTTTAATTAGATCCCATTTGTCTATTCTGGCTTTTGTTGCCATTGCTTTTGGTGTTTTAGACATGAAGTCCTTGCCCGTGCCTATGTCCTGAATGGTAATGCCTAGGTTTTCTTCTAGGGTTTTTAGGGTTTTAGGTCTAACATGTAAGTCTTTAATCCATCTTGAAGTGATTTTTGTATAAGGTGTAAGGAAGGGATCCAGTTTCAGCTTTCTACATATGGCTAGCCAGTTTTCCCAGCACCATTTATTAAATAGGGAATCCTTTCCCCATTGCTTGTTTTTGTCAGGTTTGTCAAAGATCACATAGTTGTAGATATGCAGCGTTATTTCTGAGGGCTCTGTTCTGTTCCATTGATCTATATCTCTGTTTTGGTACCATTACCATGCTGTTTTGGTTACTGTAGCCTTGTAGTATAGTTTGAAGTCAGGTAGCGTGATGCCTCCAGCTTTGTTCTTTTGGCTTAGGATTGACTTAGCAATGCGGGCTCTTTTTTGGTTCCATATGAACTTTAAAGTAGTTTTTTCCAATTCTGTGAAGAAAGTCATTGGTAGCTTGATGGGGATGGCATTGAATCTATAAATTACCTTGGGCAGTATGGCCATTTTCATGATATTGATTCTTCCTACCCATGAGCATGGAATGTTCTTCCATTTGTTTGTATCCTCTTTTATTTCATTGAGCAGTGGTTTGTAGTTCTCCTTGAAGAGGTCCTTCACGTCCCTTGTAAGGTGGATTCTTAGGTATCTTATTCTCTTTGAAGCAATTGTGAATGGGAGTTCACTCATGATTTGGCTCTCTGTTTGTCTGTTATTGGTGTATAAGAATGCTTGTGATTTTTGTACATTGATTTTGTATCCTGAGACTTAAACAACCCCATCAAAAAGTGGGCGAAGGACATGAACAGACACTTCTCAAAAGAAGACATTTATGCAGCCAAAAAACACATGAAAACATGCTCACATCACTGGCCATCAGAGAAATTCAAATCAAAACCACAATGAGATATCATCTCCCACCAGTTAGAATGGCAATCATTAAAAAGTCAGGAAACAACAGGTGCTGGAGAGGATGTGGAGAAATAGGAACACTTTTACACTGTTGGTGGGACTGTAAACTAGTTCAACCATTGTGGAAGTCAGTGTGGCGATTCCTCAGGGATCTAGAACTAGAAATAGCATTTGACCCAGCCATCCCATTACTGGGTATATACCCAAAGGATTATAAATCATGCTGCTATAAAGACACATGCACACGTATGTTTACTGCGGCACTATTCACAATAGCAAAGACTTGGAACCAACCCAAATGTCCAACAATGATCGACTGGATTAAGAAAATGTGGCACATATACACCATGGAATACTATGCAGCCATAAAAAATGATGAGTTCATGTCCTTTGTAGGGACATGGATGAAATTGGAAATCATCATTCTCAGTAAACTATCGCAAGAACAAAAAACCAAACACCGCATATTCTCACTCATAGGTGGGAATTGAACAATGAGAACACATGGACACAGGAAGGGGAACATCACACTCTGGGACTGTTGTGGGGTGGGGGGAGGGGGGAGAGATAGCATTGGGAGATATACCTAATCCTAGATGACGAGTTAGTGGGTGCAGCGCACCAGCATGTCACATGTATACATATGTAACTAACCTGCACATTGTGCACATGTGCCCTAAAAGTTAAAGTATAATAAAAAAAAAAACACTGCTGAAAGAAATCAGAGAAGGCAAAAAAAAAAAAAAATGGACAAACATCCATGCTTATGGATAGGAAGAATGAATGTCATTAAAATGGCTATTCTGCCCAAAGCAATTTACAGATTCAATACTATTCCTATCAAACTAACAGTGACATTCTTCACAGAGCAAAAAAAAAAAACTATTTTAAAATTAATATGGAACCAAGAAAGAGCTCAAATAGCAAAGGCAATCCTAAGCAAAAACAACGAAGCTGGAGATACCATGTTACCTGACTTCAAATTACACTATATGGCTACAGTAACAAAAACAAGCACACAGACCAATGGAAAGAATAGAGAGTCCAGAAATAAGGCCACACACCTGGAACCATCTGATATTCAACAAAACTGACAAAAACAAATGATGGGGAAAGGAGTCCCTATTCAATAAATGATGATGGGATAACTGGCTAGCCATATGCAGAAGATTGAAGCTGGACCCCTTCCTTAACCATATATAAAAATCAACTCAAGATGGATTAAAGACTTAAATATAAAATCCAAAACTATAAAAACCCAGAAGACAACCTAGGCAATACCATTCTAGACATAGGAATGGGCAAAAGTTTCATGACAAAGACACCAAAAGCAATTGCAACAAAAGCAAAAATTGACAAGTGAAATCTAATTAAACTTAAGAGCTTCTGCACAGCAAAAGAAACTATCAACAGAGTAAACAGACAACCTACAGAACAGAATATTTTTGCAAACTGTGCGTCTAATAGATATAATATCCAGTATCTATATGGAACTTAAACAAATTTACAAGAGAAAAACAACCAACCAAATTAAAAAGTGGGCAAAGGACATGAACAGACACTTTTCAAAAGACATATATGCAGCCAACAAGCTTATGAATAAATGCCCAATATCACTTATCATTAGAGAAACGCAAATCAAAACCACAATGAGATACCATCTCACACCAGTCAGAACGGCTATTAATAAAAAGTCAAAAAATAATAGATGCTGGTGATGCTGTGGAGAAAAAAGAACATTTATAGACTGTTGGTGGGAGGTGTAAATTAAGTATGGCAATTCCTCAAGAGCTAAAAGCAGAACTGCCATTTGACCCAGCAATCCCATTACTGGGTATATAGCCAGAGGAATATAAATCATTTTACTACAAAGCCACATGCACGCAAATGTTCATTGCAGCACTATTCACAATAGCAAAGATATGGAATTACCCTAAATGCCCATCAACAACAGACTGAATAAAGAAATTGTGGTTCATATACACCATGGAATACTATGCAGCCATAAAAAAGAATGAGATCATGTTTTTGTGAGAACACAGATGGAGCTGGAGGCTGTTACCCTCAACAAAGTAACACAGGAACAGAAAACCAAATACCACATGTTCTCACTTATAAGTGGGAGCTAAATGATGAAAATTTACAAACACAAAGAAGGAAACAACAGACACCGGGGTTCTTCTTGAGGGTGGAGGAAGGAAGGAGAAAGAAGAGCAGAAAAGATAACTATTGGATGCTGGGTTTAATTCCTGGGTGATTAAATAATCTGTATAACAAACCCTTGTGACACGAGTTTACCTATGTAACAAACCTTTCACATGTGCCCCCAAGCCTAAAATAAAAGTTTCAGAAAAAAGATTTAAAAACTTCAGATTTCTAGTTTTTTTACAACAGAGAACCCATTAAAAAGACCCACTATATGATATGTTTATTATGTTGACTGTAGCTATTGTTTCATTCTCTGTGTGTGTGTGTGTGTGTGTGTGTGTGTGTGTGTGTGTGTACTTGAAATCGTATACTTAAAATATGTGCAGTTTATTGTATGGCAAGCATACCCCAAATAAAGCTCTTTTCTAAATCTTGTTAGATTATTTTGTTCTTTCAATAAAGCCCTTTCTGAAAGGGCAGGTTAAAGACATGAGCATAGGTCTTCGTCTCTGTGTCAAATCTCAGAATCCCCTTTTTGTTTTGTTTTATATTGCCTTTGCTCCTGTGTATAATCTTAGACAATATAGTCTTCTCTGTGGCGTGGTATAATGAAAAGAATATTGGGTTAGAAGTTAGAACCAAATTTTTTTATTTTTAATTTTTGTGGGTATATAGTAGGTGTATACATTTATTGGATACATGAGATTTTTGGATATAGGCATGCAATGCATAATAATCACATCAGGGTAACCAGAGTATCCATTACGTCAAGCATTTACCCTTAGCGTTTCAAACAACCCAATTATACTCTCAGTTATTTTTAAATGAATGATTAAATTATTTTTTACTATAGTCACCCTGTTGTGCTAGCAAATACTAGGTCTTATTTATTCTAAGTGTTTCTGTACCCATTAACCATTCCCCCTTCCCCCCAACACCCCCACCCCTGACGACCCTTCCTATCCTATGGTAGCAATACTTCTACTCTCCATCTCCATGAGTTCAATTGTTTTAATTTCTAGCTCCCACAGATAAATGAGAACTTGTGATGTTTGTCCAAACCAAATTTCTATTTTGGCACTAAATAGCTGTGTAACCCTGAACACTTTACTTAAACTTTCTTGGATTCACTGCTCTCATCCAAAAAATCAGGTTGGACTGGATGATCTCTTAAATTTCTTCAGCATCTGTGATTTCCTGCAAATCAGATCAGGAGTACCACAGAAAGACTTCCCCTCAAAACTGATTCCAGAGCAACAGTAGGACTTGCATTTGGACATGATTAAATCACCTACCATTCAAAAGGAAACAGGAGCAATGAAAACAGAAAGAATATTTGGCACTGAGTCCATAAGTTTCCACCTGCTGTACATTCAAAGGCAATCAGAAAAGGAAAAGTAGGGACCTGTAGATTGGATATCAAATCAGGGAAGTCATTAAGGCTGCAGTAATAAAGCAGGCAGCTCTGCCCTGTCATCCTGGGTAAGACATAGACAAATGCACACAGGGCTGGCACAATGAGGCCCATTTTAAATCACAGATCAGGGCTTTGGACTAAACGGCCTGTGAAGACCCTCCTTCTTGCTCCAACATGCTCTGATTTGCATTTTTATTGTAGAATAAGGATTAAAATGGAGACAGATGAACATTTTTCACACCCAGTCCCAGTTTAATGTGAAATGTTTCTGCACAAAAATGTTTAATTGCTTTGCAGAAGTCACAAAGATGATTAAATGCCTCTTTCCTCTCCAAATGTGTATAACTATTAACTCTGCTTGTACAATATAGAAAACATGATGTTTTGGGATAATCTAGAAAATGAACATGAACAATATTCTCTGAAATAGCTATCACTGGTATCTAACTCAGCAAATGCCTGCTGAATGGTGCTGCGCTCATTTCTCCTTTTGTCTTTGGCCCTTAAACAAACAAAAAGATTGGAGCAATTGTTTCAAAAAAAAAAGAGGCTTCTGCAGAATGTTACCTAGATTTATGGGTGGGTGTGAGAGATACTCCCAATAGCCATTCCTCTTTCACCTGCCTGCCTTCACTAAAGTTTAAACACATTCCCAGCCTATCCCTGAAGCTACAATTGGCCATATGACACAATTCTAGCCATTGGGACATAAACAGAAGTCAGATGGGGGCTTTTAGGAACTTTTGCTTTTTCTGATAAGGCTTAGACAACCCCATCAGCCATCCCAACCCACCCCACCACACTTGCTTCCTGCACTGAACACAGGTGTGATTTCTGGGCTGACAGCAGCTATAGTACAACAATGAAATTACATATCAATATGCCAATGACAGTAGAGGGAAAAGTTAGAAAAGGCTTAGGTCCCAAATGGCATAATTGAGTCAAAAAGATAAATAGGCAAATAAACACCTGTTTGTTTAAGCCTCCATTAGCCAGGCTAACTAGTAGACTAACCATCTACTAGTTTTAGCAGAATATATTCCTCTCCAATACAGTAGGTTTAGGAAAAGGATTAATTGCCCTTTAGTTTGATAATGTGTCCATTACTTGCAAAACAAATAAAATTGATCCTTGATGTTTCTTAGTATAAGAAGATCATCATTATTTTACAGGGCTTGGATAAACAAGTCTTGGTTTTCATCAGTATTCCAAGAAGGAAATATTAGCATATATTGTCATCTCAGATAGACAACATATAAATACATGACTTGTATGTATATCATAATCTAGTTTGCATCATGATCAAAGCCATAGTGATAAGTCCTTCCTACTACCAAAACCATATATATTTAGCATTTGCCTGTTATCTACCTCAAAAGTCATAGTCATTTCATTCATTCATGTAATAAGTAGTTAAAATGCCTACTATGTGTCAGACACTGACATTTCACATATTCTCAACGGATTAGTACAGGAATTTGTCAATCTTTGTCATCCAATGTGCTTTAAATTCTAAAACTTTACATTTTTATGCTACAAAGAAAGTGAACTAGTTATGATTTGTCATGTTATTTTAGCTATGCTAAAAGTTTAGATGAAGGAAAAATGAACTTGCTCTACAAAAGGCCAGATAATAAAAATTTTAGCCTTTATACACCATGTTGCCATGACTCAGTTTTGTCATTTTAGCACAAAAACAGCCATAGACTATGTAAATGAATTAATGGCACTGTGTTGCAATAAAACTTCATTTATTAACACTGAAATTTAAATTTTATATAATTAACAGGTGTCACAAAGTAGTCTTCTTTCTGATTTTTTTTCAAAAATGTAAAAATTTTACAAAAATGTAAAAATAAAATTCTCTTATCTCACAGGTCATACAAAAACAGGAAGTGAACCAGATTTGGCCTGCAAGCCATATTTAAATCAATCCTCTCACTTTTTCCCTAAATGCTTCAGTCACCTGATTATGCCTTATAGAATAAGCAAGTGGGAACTTTCGAAACCTCACTCATATTTCATTGTGTAGCTCTTTCTAATAAAGTATTCAACAGAATCTCTGAAATATACTGCTTTACAAATCACTGATACTAAATTTCTTAATTCCTGCTTTCATTTATATGGGGGAAATCAGCCTTGTTGCATAGCAATAGGCAGAATTACCATGAATGCATTATGATCTGAAATCACATTTGCACAGATAGCTGATAATCCCCACGGAAGCTGCCTCCACAGCACCGGGGAGTACCCATTTATCTCTGTGCTCAACCCTGTTATCTTCCCCCAGAGCTCACCCCATCACAGGCTGCTTTTCTCATGCCACGTAAGAACACTGGCAGAGTAATAAAGGAAGGCATTCTTTGGTTAGCACATGATTTTAAGTGGCTTCCTTGAGTTTAGTCTGGCCACTAGAGAGATTTACACAGTTTCATCATTCATATAGAAGTTAATGGGACATCAAGGTTTTTTAATAATAAAATAGCATCAGGCAGGAAAAACATTGCTTTAGCATTCCTCAGGAAAAAAAAAAGACAAGGCAACATTATTTTTGGAGTATTAAAAAAATGATGTTTCTTGTCATTCTGGGGCTCAGAAGCATAACATCAAAGAACGACTCAGGCATTTTTTTACTATTGTCATATTTATTAAGACCAGCTTCTGTGCACATTTGGCATCAGTAACTAATACAAATTGTCTTTTTATGTTCAAGTATTTTCTGATTCCTTCATTTTACTGAGCAGAAACAGAAACCAGTGGATTATGAAAGAGCTTTGAGCAGCTTATCCCCCCCACCACCACTTTTGTCTCATCCATCTGACTTATTACCCTGGCACAACCCCCTTCAGGACTGGAGCTCTGCCCGCATTTCTATTATTTTTGGCTGGAAATCAAAGTCACCTATTAAATGAAGGTGACTTTGATTTCCGGGATTAAAAAAGAGACTTGAGGTATTCGCACTTCCACATTAACTGCAGCATTATTCACAATAGCCAAGATATGGGATCAACCTGTGTCCATCAGCAGACAAATAGATAAAGAAAACATGGTCTATATACACAATGGAATTCTATTCCATCATAAAAAAAATAATGAAATGTCATTTGCGATAGCATGGATGGAACTGGAGGACATTACGTTAAGTGAAATAAGACAAACATCGCATGTTCTCACTCATATGTGAAAGCTAAAATAGTGGATCTCACGGAGGTATAGAGTAGAACGGTGGTTACTAGAGGCCAGGAAGGGTAGAGGAGAAGGGAGGATAAGGAGAGATTGGTTACTGGGTACAAAAATACGGTTAGAAGGAATAAGATCTAGTGTTCAGTAGCCCAACAGGGTGACTATAGCTAACAATATCTTATTGTGTATTTCAAAATAGCTAGAAGAGAAGATCTGGAATGTACCCAACACAAAGAAATGATAAATGTTTGAGGCAATAGATATTCCAATTACCAGATTTAATTAGTACACATTGTATGCTCGTATCAAAATATCACATTAGCCCAATAATATATACAACTATTTATATCCATAAAAATTAAATCGAATAAAAAAGATTTGAGGATGGCTAGGCAGTGAATGACTTAGTGAGCACATCTAATAGCAAGGCACTATGCAAAGCTCTTCATATATTTAATATCTTATCATGTATTACACCTTTAGCTCTCAACAGTATCATTAGATGCTTTATCACTGTTTTATACAAAAGAAAACTAAAGCTTAGAGAATTTTTAAAACTTAAGCAAATTCACATTGCTGTTAATAAGTAATATTCCTTCCACTGTACTATAATTCCTCTTGGATTCTAGTTCTTTCCAGCTCTTCCCTAAGAATGAATTTATCTCTAATGTCTCCATATGAGTATGGGAGGAGCTCCCAAAACAGTCACCACTTGGCAGTGGATACTCTGGCATCTGAATATTGATTTTGGATTACCTGGAACCTTTTCCTTCCAGGATGAGACTTGAGCATATTGTGTTTGAGCAGCCTAGCTGCTTGTTTCAGGCCAAGCCTCTATCACTGGATAACTTCTCCAGCCCCTATTGCATACCTTGGTAAACAGATCCCACTCCTTTCTTGACAGCACAGTATTTCTGGATACCTATTATACCCAAACCATGTCTACTTAAGCCACATTATTGCATTGTAAATCTCTGAATGCATAGTTCTACCAGTGAGAAAGAAGAGCATTTGTCCCACCTTAAACAACAATAAAAAGTAAATTATATGGTATGATTTGATATAATTAAATGTGAGGTTTTCTACAAAACAGAACATTCCAAGGAACTTTTATGATTTTTTTCAATAATACATCTTGAATGCCAGGTCCTGGAATGTATCATGTACACAAAGAGACACATGGAGCTTTCCCTATGTATTTAAATTATCAGACCTACTCCCAAATCTAATGCACCCAAATCCAAAGTTTGAATATATCTGCTACTAGTATATTGTGTATCTGCCTCAACTGTAAGAGAGCCTTAGTTTATGCTGCACAATTACAGCATAGCAATCAGTACAGGCCTGAAGTCTCTTCACCATCAATGGTGCCTCATCCCTAGACATCCTATGACTGTCATGTATCATGCAGACCTTCCTATGGGGATCCCCCTTGTATTAGTCCATTTTCATGCTGCTGACACAGACATATCTGAGACTGGGAAGAAAAAGAGATTTAATTGGACTTACAGTTCCACATGGCTGGGGAGGCCTCAGAATCATGGTAGGAGGCAAAAGGCACTTCTTACATAGCAGCAGCAAGAGAAAATGAGGAAGAAGCAAAAGCAGAAACCCCTGATAAAACCATCAGATCTCATGAGACTTAACAACAACCATGAGAATAGCATGGGAAAGACCAGCTCCCATGATTCAATTACTTCCCCCTGGGTCCCTCCCACAACATGTGCGAATTCTGGGAGATACAATTCGAATTGAGATTTGGATGGGGACACAGCCAAACCATATCACCCCTACACTCCAGAATTTTCTCATTCCCCATTTTTGTCCCTGTCATAATTATCTGTTCAGAGTCGTTTTCTCAGTCATATTCTGCATTTTGAACCAAAAAAGAGATATCCATAAAATATTTTCAGTATAAGTGCCTTTATATCTCTCCTCAAAGGTAACAAATTATCAGTTTGTCTTCTAAGATTGGAATAGAGGTCTCTGGTCAGAACAAAGAGAGTCAAGGTAACGGATTTCAGGCGACCATGGAGGCATAGAAGGAGAGGAACTTGGCAAATGGCCAGAGATGATGACAGGTACAGATGGCAGGCATCCAGCACCCAGGGATTCAGCTGGCAGCTAATTGACAGGAGAAAATAACCAGGCAGGTGGCTAACAGCACAGGCTCAGCTACCTGAAGTTAGGTCAGGCATAGGGTCAAAAAATCAAGAATAGAAGTCTAAGGAATAAGGAATCAATAGAAACTGAATGATTATGCAAAGAGGCTGCATTACTGTAACATTTCCCTCTCCAGCTTTGGAATGGCCTTGTCCAGACGTGGTTAACCTCCAGAGTTCTGAGAATGATAGGATGTAACAAGTTCAAATGAGAAGACACCAGACAGCATCGAATGGACTTAGGTTAGTAAGATCATGGACCAAGCCTTGTGAAAAAACCTTGGTTATTACCTTCCTTCAGGAGAGTCCATATTTTTAGTATAGGCAGAAATGTAATGACTGAAGCCATTCTAAATGCAATGCTCAAGTCCGTTCTATAGCACGGAGATTAATCTCACGTTAGAGCAGAAAGTTGGACAGGGAATTAAGAAGGATGCTCAAGAAAGGTTTCACAAAGAAGACAATACTTGAGCTTGATCATAGTGCATAAATAGAATATTGGTCATGGGAATAAGGACTTTCTAAAGTGGGATACAGCAAGAGCAAAGGCATGGAGGTTTGAAAGTACACATTTTACTTAAAGAATTTTGGATTCTCTACTACGATTAGCACATAGATAATGTGGTAAGAAGAAGAAAAACTTAAACTAGATTTTATACACACACACATATACATAGGTACATATGTACATTTAAATAACTTCACAATCTGATTCCAATTTGTATACACACATACATATTTGTTACATTGGAATCAGATTGCAAAAGTCTTTGACTAAAACCCTTAGGGGATGGAATTTGGCCTTAAGGGAATTCACTCAGATTTTAATCAAGCAGAGGAGCATAATCAGTTTTGCAAAATCGTTTTTAAAAATGCAAAGAATGGATTGGAAGAAAGGGAGAACCACAGCACAGAGATCAGACTCATCAGAGGTCAGTTGCAACAACCCATAAAGGAGATGATGAGAGGCTAAGTAGAGCAGTGGCCAATGGGTTTGGAGAGGTAAAAGCATCTTCCGGAGCTTTCAGGGGTAGAATCAACTCAACTTAGTGACCTGTTTTACATAGAGGAAGAGAAACATTGAGGTTTCTAAATTATGGAAACTTAGGATAGATATGATTGAAGTGCCAGGAATTAAGACAGACAGAGAGAGAAGACTTGGAAGATAATATGAATTGAATTTAAATTTGAAAAAGAAAAACTCTGGAACAGAGTGAAGTAGTGCTAATCTACTTCACTCCAGTATATCAGTGATATTTCAAGACTTGGGAATATATGAAATCACGCAGGGAAAATTTCTAGGAAAAGGGAAACAGAAAGAGAATCTGGGGAAGACTAAATTTGGCTGTACACAATAAGATGTGTCATGACTACAACAACTGCACAGATATTGCAGTCAAATGGATGTTACCTAACAGATTCTTGCTTTAGAAATAGGTGGGAGGCAATGCAAGATAGCCAAATAGAAGCCCCTAGTGAATGCTCCCCCTGGAAGGAACACCAAATTGAACAACTATCCACACAAGAAAGCACTTCATAAGAATGAAAAATCAGGTGAGCAATCATGTACCTGGTTTTAACATCATATCAAGTGATACTGTTTGTCTGTGTCCCCACCCAAATCTCATCTTGAAGAATATCTCACATAATTTCCACGTGTTGTGGGAGAGACCTAGTAGGAGATAATTGAATCATGGAGGCACTTTCCCCCATACTGTTCTCATGGTAGTGAATAAGTCTCACAAGATATGTTAGTTTTATAAGGGGAAACCCCTTTTGCTTGGCTCTCATTCCCTCTTGCCTGCCACCATGAAGGACATGCCTTTTACCTTCCACCATGATTGTGAGACCTCCCCAGCTACATGGAACTGTGAGTCCATTAAAGCTCTTTTTCTTTATAAATTACAAAGTCTCAGGTATGTCTTTATCAGCAGCATGAGAACAGACTAATACAGTAAATTGGTGCCAGTAGAGTGGGGCGCTGCTGTAAAGATACCCAAAAATGTGGAAACAACTTTGGAACTGGGTAACAGGAAGAGGCTGGAACAGTTTGGAGGGCTCAGAAGAAGACACAAAATTGTGGGAGAGTTTGGAACTTCCTAGAGACTTGTTGAATGGCTTTGACCAAAATGCTGATAATGATATAGACGATGAAATCCAGGCTGAGATGGTGTCAGATGGAGATGAAGAACTTGTTGAGAACTGGCGTAAAGTTGACCCTTGCTATGTTTTAGCAAACAGACTGGTGGCATTTTGCCCTTGCCCTAGAGATTTGTGAAACTTTGAACTTGAGAGAGATGATTTAGGGTATTAGGCAGGAGAATATTTTGGGGGACGCAGAGTCTCACTCTGTTTCCCAGGCTGGAGTGCAGTGGCACAGTCTTGGCTCACTGCAGCTGCTGCCTCCCATGTTCAAGCAATTCTCCTGCCTCAGGCTCCTGAGTAGTTGGAATTACAGGCACATGCCACAATGCCCAGCTAATTTTTGTATTTTTAGCATAGACAGGGTTTCACCATGTTGGCTAGACTAGTAGTCTCAAACTCCTGACCTCAAGTGATCCACCCACCTTGGCCTCCCAAAGTGCTCGGATCATAGGCATGATCCACCACACCCAGCCTGGCAGAAGAAATTTCTATGCAGCAAAGCATTCAAGAGGTGACTTGGGTGCTATTAAAAACATTGTTTTAATAAAGAAACAGAGCATGAAAGTCCAGAAAATTTACAGCCTGAAAATGTGATAGAAAAATAAAAAACCATTTTCTCAGGAGAAATTCCAGCCTGTGGCAGAAATTTGCATAAATAATGAGGAGCCAAATGTTAATTGCCAAGACAATGAGGAAAATGTCTCTAGGGCTTGTCAAAGACATTCACAGCAGCCCCTCCCATCACAGGTCCAGAGGCCTAGGAGGAAAAAATAGTTTCATGGGCTGGGCCCAGAGCCCCCCCGCTGTGTACAGCCTAGGGACTTGGTGCCCTGCATCCCAGCCACTGTAGCCATGGCTAAAAGGGGCCAAGATGCTGCTTGGGCCATTGCTTTAGAGGGTGCAAGCCCCAAGCCTTGGCAGCTTCCACATGGTGTCGAGCCTGCAGGTGCACAGAAGAATTGACGTTTGGGAACTTCCACCTAGATTTAAGAGGATGTAAAAAAATGCCTGGATGTCCAGGCAGAAGTTTGCTGCAGGGGTGGGGCTCTCATGGAGAACCTCTGCTAGGGCAGTGGGGAAGGCAAGTGTAGGTTGGAGGTCCCACACAGTATCCTCACTGGGGCATTGCCTAGTGGAGCTGTGGGAAGAGGGCCACTGTCCTATAGACCCCAGAATGATAAATCCACCAACAGCTTGCATGGTGCCCCTGGAAAAGCTGCAGACACTCAACACCAGCCTGTGAAAGCAGCTGGGAGGGAGTCTGTACCCTGCAAAGCTACAGGGACAGAGCTTCCCAAGATCATGGGAACCCACCTCTTGCATCAGCATGATCTGTATGTGAGACATGGAGTCAAAGGAGATCATTTTGGAGTTTTAGATTTGACTGCCCTGCTGGATTTCAGACTTGCATGGGGCATTTAACCCCTTTGTTTTGGCCCATTTCTCCTATTTAAAATGGGTGTTTTTATCCAATGCCTGTACCCCCATTGTATCTAGGAAGTAACTAACTTGCTTTTCATTTTACAGGCTCATAGGCAGAAGAGACTTGCCTTGTCTCAGATGAGACTTTGGACTGTGGACTTTTGTGTTAATGCTGAAATGAGTTAAGACTTTGGGGTACTGTTGGGAATGCATGATTGGTTTTGAAATGTGAGGACATGAGATTTGGGAGGGGCTAGGTCAGAATGACGTGGTTAGGCTGTATCCCCACCCAAATCCCATCTTGAATTCTAGCTCCCATAATTCCCACATGTAGTGGGAGTTTCCCAGTGGGAGATAATTGAATCATGAGGGTGGTTTCCCCCATACTGTTCTCATGGTAGTGAATAAGTCTCACAAGATCTAATGGTTTTATAAGGCAAAACCCCTTTTGCTTAGCATTCATTCCCTTTGCCTGCTGCCATGTAAGACATGCCTTTCACCTTCCACCATGATTGTGAGGCCTCCCCAGCCATGTGGAACTGTGATTCCATTAGACTTTCTTTTATTTATAAATTACCCAGTCTTGGGTATGTCTTTATCAGCAGCATGAAAATGGACTAACACATCAAGGAAAGAGGCACTGAAAAGAGTAGAAAAAGCAGTCCGGAAGTGTCTCCACTACCTCCTCACTCAGCCTCCAGCAATGGCCTCAGAGAGAGAATCTGTGCACTTGGAGGAGGGGTTGCACAGTGATTGTGGGACTTTGCATTGGAACTCAATGCTGGCCTCTCACAGTGGAAAGCAACACAGCTGGAATCCATGGAGGGAACATTTAGACCAGCCATAGCCAGAAGGGAACTGTCCATTCCAGGGGTCAGAACCTGATACCAAAACCAAACAAAGACACAGCAAAAAGAGAAAACTACAGGCCAATATCTCCGATGAATATTGATCCAAAAAATTTGCAACAAAATACTAGCAAATGAAATTCAACAACATATTTAAAAGATCCTCATCAGCCAGGCATGGTGGCTCATGCCTATAATCCTAGCACTTTGGGAGGCTGAGGCAGGTGGATCACCTGAGGTCAGGACTTAGAGGCCAGTCTGGCCAACATGGCAAAACCACGTCTCTACTAAAAATACAAAAATTAGCTGGGCATAGTGGTGGATGTTTGTAATCCCAGCTACTCAGGAGGCTGAGGAAGGAGAATCGCTTGAACCTGGGAGGCAGAGGTTGCAGTGAGCCAAAACCACACCACTGCACTCCAGCCTGAGTGACAGAGTGAGACTCTGTCTCAAAAAAAAAAAATCCTTCATAATAACCAAGTGGGATTTATTCCAGTGATGCAAAGATGGTTCAAAACATGCAAATCAATCAGTGTGATACACATGTCAATAGAATGAAAGACAAAACCCATATGATCATTTCAATTAGTGCTGAAAAAGCATGTGATAAAATTAAACATCCCTTCATGAAAAAAACCCTCAACAAAATTGCTATAGAAGGAAAACACCTCAAAACAATAAAAGCCATATATGACCAATCCACAGTTAGTATTGTACTGAATCGGTGAAAACTGAAAGCCTTTCCTCTAAGATCTAGAATGTGACAAGGACTCCCAGTTTCACCACTGTTATTCAACATAGTCCTGGAATTCCTAACTAGAACAATCAGACAAGATATAGAAATAAAGGGCATCCAAACTGGAAATGAAGAAGTCAAATTACCCTTGTTTGTAGATGTCATGATCTTATATTAGGAAAAACCTAAAGTCTCCACCAAGAAACTGTCAGAACTATAAACAAATTCAATGAAGTAGATGTTATGATCTTGTATTAGGAAAAACCTAAAGTCTCCACCAAGAAACTGTCAGAACTAATAAACAAATTCAATGAAGTAGATGTTATGATCTTATATTAGGAAAAACCTAAAGTCTTCACCAAGAAACTATCAGAACTAATAAGCAAATTCAATAAAGTTTCAGGATGCAAAACCAACATACAAAAATCAGTAGCATTTCTATATGCCAACTGTGAACAATCTAACATAAAAATCAAGAAAGTACTCCCTTATACAATAGCTACACATAAAATGAAATACCTAGGAATAAACTTTACCAAAGAAGTGAAACATGTCTACAATAAAAACTTTAAAACATTGATGTGAGAAATTGAAAACAACCCAAAGTGTTCATGGATTGGAACAACCGTATTGTTAAAATGTCCATACTACCCAAAGCAATCTACAGATTCAATGCAATTCCTATCAAAATACTAATGATGCTGTCCACAGAAATAGAAAAAATAATGCTAAAATGTATATGGAACCACAAAAGACCCAGAATAGTCAAAGTCATCCCAAGCAAAAATAACAAAACTAGAGGAATCACACTACCTGACTTCAAATTATACTACAGAGCTATAATAACCAAAACAGCATGATAACAGCATAGAAACAGACACATAGACAAATGAAACAGAATAGATAACCCAGAAATAAATCCACACATCTACAGTGAACTCCTCTTTTACAAAGGTGCCAAGATCATACATTAGGGAAAGGACAGTCTCTTCCACAAATGGTGCTGGAAAAACTGCGAAAGACTGAAACTAAACCCCTATCTCTTGCCATATACGAAAATCAAATCAAAATACTTAAATCTAGGACCTCAAACTATCAACCTAATAAAAGGAAACTTTGGGGAAACACTCCAGGACATTAGTCTAGGCAAAAATTTCTTGAGTATTACCTCCAAAGCACAGGCAATCAAAGCAAAAATAGACAAATGGGATCACATGAAGTTAAAAAGCTTCTGCACAACCCTAAAACGTAAAGTATAATTTAAAAAAAAAAAAAAGCTCCTGCACAGCAAAGAAAATAATCAAAAAAGTGAAAAGACAACCCACAGAATGGGAGAAAATACTTCCAAACTATCCATCTGACAAGGGACTAACAACCAGGATATATAAGGAGCTCAAACAACTCAATAGGAAAAAATCTAATAATCCAATTAAAAAATGGGCACAAGATCTGAATAAACATTTCACAAAAGAAAACATACAACTGGCAAACAGGCATATGAAAAAGTGCCCACCATCATTGGTAATCAGAGAAATACAAATCAAAATTCCAATGAGATATTATCTCACCCCAACTAAAATGGCTTGTATTCAAAAGACAGGTAATAACAAATGCTGAGAGGAGGTTCCAAGATAGCTGAATAGGAACAGCTCCAATCTGCAGCTCCCAGCATAAGTGACGCAGAAGATGGGTGATTTCTGCATTTCCAACTGAGATACTGGGTTCATCTCACTGGGGCTTGTCAGACTGTGGGTGCAGCCCACGGAGCAAGGCAGGGCATCGCCTCACCCGGGAAGTGCAAGGGGTCAGGGAATTCCCTTTCCTAGCAAAGGGAAGCTGTGACAGATGGTATCTGGAAAATCAGGACACTCCCACCCTAATACTGTGATTTTCTAATGGCCTTAGCAAACGGCACACCAGGAGAGTATATCCCATGCCTGGCTCAAAGGGTCCCACACCCACAGAGCCTTGCTCCCTGCTAGCACAGCAGTCTGAGATCGAACTGCAAGGCAGCAGCGAGGCTAGGGGAGGGGCATCTGCCATTGCTGAGGCTTGAGTAGGTAAAAAAGCGGCCAGGAAGCTCAAACTGGGTGGAGCCCTCTGCAGCTCAAGGAGGTCTGCCTGCCTCTGTAGACTCCACCTCTAGGGGCAGGGCATAGCTGAACAAAAGGCAGCAGAAACTTCTGCAGACTTAAATGTCCCTGTCTGACAGCTTTGAAGAGAGCAGTGGTTCTCCCAGCACAGAGTTTGAGATCTGATAATGGACAGACTGCCTCCTCAAGTGGGTCCCTGACCCCCTAACTGGGAGACATCTCCCAGTAGGGGCCAACTGACACCTCATACAGCCAGGTGCCCTTTTGACACGAAGCTTCCAGAGGAAGGATGAGACAGCAACATTTGCCATTCTGCAATATTTGCTGTTCTGCAGCCTCCGCTGGTGATACCCAGGCAAACAGGTCTACAGTGGACCTCCAGCAAACTCCAACAGATCTGCAGCTGAGGGTCCTGACTGTTAGAAGGAAAACTAACAAATAGAAAGGATATCCACACCAAAACCCCATCTGTACATCACCATCATCAAAGACCAAAGGTAGATAAAACCACAATGATGGGGAGAAACCAGAACAGAAAAGCTGAAAATTCTAAAAATCAGAGCACCTCTCCTCCTCCAAAGGAATGCAGCTCCTTACCCGTAACGGAACAAAGCTGGATGGAGAATGACCTTGACAAGTTGAGAGAAGTAGGCTTCAGACGATCGGTAATAACAAACTTCTCTGAGCTAAAGGAGGATGTTTGAACTCATAACAAAGAAGCTAAAAACCTTGAAAAAAGATTACACGAATGGCTAACTAGAATAAACAGCATAGAGAAGTCCTTAAATGACCTGATGGAGCTGAAAACCATGACACGAGAACTACGTGATGCAAGCACAAACTTCAGTAGCCGATTTGATCAAGTGGAAGAAAGGGTATCAGTGATTGAAGAGCAAATGAATGAAATGAAGCAAGAAGAGAAGCTTAGAGAAAAAAGAGTAAAAAGAAACAAACAAAGCCTCCAAGAAGTATGGAACTGTGTGAAAAGACCAAATCTACATCTGATTGGTATACCTGAAAGTGACAGGGAGAATGGAACCAAGTTGGAAAACACTCTTCAGGATATTATCCAGGAGAACTTCTCCAACCTAGGAAGGCAGGCCAACATTCAAATTCAGGAAATACAGAGAAAGCCACAAAAATACTCCTTGAGAAGAACAACGCTAAGACACAAAATTGTCAGATTCACCAAAGTTGAAATGAAGGAAAAAATGTAAAAGGCAGCCAGAGAGAAAGGTTGGGTTACCCACAAAGGGAAGCCCATCAGACTAACAGTGGATTTCTCAGCAGAAACTCTACAAGCCAGAAGAGAGTGGGGGCCAATATTCAACATTCTTAAAGAATTTTCAACCCAGAATTTTATATTCAGCCAAACTAAGCTTCATAAGTGAAGGAGAAATAAAATCCTTTACAGACAAACAAATGCTGAGAGATTTTGTCACCACGAGGCCTGCCTTACAAGAGCTACTGAAGGAAGCACTAAACATGCAAAGGAACAACCAGTACCAGCCACTGCAAAAACATGTCAAATTGTACAGACCATCGATTCTAGGAAGAAACTTTATCAACTAACGAGCAAAATAACCAGCTAACATCATAATGACAGGATCAAATTCACACAAAACAGTATTAACCTTAAATGTAAATGGGCTAAATGCTCCAATTAAAAGACACAAACTGGCAAATTGGATAAAGAGTCAAGACCCAAGTGTGCTGTATTCAGGAAACCCATCTCACATGCAGAGACACACATAGGCTCAAAATAAAGGGATGGAGGAAGATCTACCAAGCAAATGGAAAACAAAAAAAAAAAGCAGAGGTTGCAATCCTAGTCTCTGTTAAAACAGACTTTAAACCAACAAAGATCAAAAGGAACAAAGAAGGCCACTACAAAATGGTAAAGGGATCAATTCAACAAGAAGAGCTAACTATCCTAAATATATATGCACCCAATAAAGGAGCATCCAGATTCATAAAGCAAGTCCTTAGAGACCTACAAAGAGACTTAGACTCCCACACAATAATAATGGAAGACTTTAACACTCCACTGTCAACATTAGACAGATCAATGAGACAGAAAGTTAACAAGGGTATCCAGGAATTGAACTCAGCTCTGCACCAAGCAGACCCAATAGACATCTACAGAACTCTCCACTCCAAATCAATAGAGTATACATTCTTCTCAGCACCACATCACACTTATTTCAAAATTGACCGCATGGTTGGAAGTAAAGCACTCCTCAGCAAATGTAAAAGAACAGAAATTATAACAAACTGTCTCTCAGACCACAGTAAAATCAAACTAGAGCTCGGGATTAAGAAACTCACTCAAAACGGCTCAACTACATGGAAGCTGAACAACCTGCTACTGAATGACTACTGGGTACATAACGAAATGAAGGCAGAAATAAAGATGTTCTTTGAAACCAACGAGAACAAAGGCACAACATACGAGAATCTCTGGGACACATTTAAAGCACTGTGTAGAGGGAAATTTATAGCACTAAATGCCCACAAGAGAAAGCAGGAAAGATCTAAAATTGACACCCTAACATCACAATTAAAAGAACTAGAGAAGCAAGAGCAAATACATTCAAAGGCTAGTAGAAGGCAAGAAATAACTAAGATCACAGCAGAATTGAAGGAGATAGAGACATAAAAATCCCTTCAAAAAATCAATGAATCCAGGAGCTAGTTTTTTGAAAAGATGAACAAAATTGATAGATTGATAACAAGACTAATAAAGAAGAAAAGAGAAAAATCAAATAGATGCAATAAAAAATGATAAAGGGGATATCACCACCGATCCCACAGAAATACAAATTACCATCAGAGAATACTATAAACACCTCTATGCAAATAAACTAGAAAATCTAGAAGATGGGGATAAATTCCTGGACACACACACCCTCCCAAGACTAAAACAGGAAGAAGTTGAATCCCTGAATAGACCAATAACAGGTTCTGAAATTGAGGCAATAACTAATAGCCTACCAACCAAAAAAAGTCCAAGACCAGACGGATTCACAGCCGAATTCTACCAGAGGTACAAAGAGGAGCTGGTACCATTCCTTCTGAAACTATTCCAATCAATAGAAAAAGAGGGAATCCTCCTTAATTCATTTTATGAGGCCAACATCATCCTGATACCAAAGCCTGGGAGAGACATAACAAAAAAAGAGAATTTTAGATCAATATCCCTGATGAACATTGATGCAAAAATACTCAATAAAATACTGGCAAACTGAATCCACCAGCACATCAAAAAGCTTATCCACCACGATCAAGTAGGCCTCATCCCTGGGATGCAAGGCTGGTTCAACATATGCAAATAAATAAACGTAATCCATCATATAAACAGAACCAAAGACAAAAACCACATGATTATCTCAATAGATGCAGAAAAGGCCTTCGACAAAATTCAACAACGCTTCATGCTAAAAACTCTCAATAAACTAGGTATTGACGGGATGTGTCTCAAAATAATAAGAGCTATTTATGACAAACCCACAGCCAATATCATACTGAATGGGCAAAAACTGGAAGCATTCCCTTTGAAAACTGGCACAATGGCCGGGCGCGGTGGCTCACGCCTGTAGTCCCAGCACTTTGGGAGGCCGAGGCGGGCGGATCACGAGGTCAGGAGATTGAGACCATCCTGGCTAAAACGGTGAAACCCCGTCTCTACTAAAAATACAAAAAATTAGCCGGGCGTAGTGGCGGGTGCCTGTAGTCCCAGCTACTTGGGAGGCTGAGGCAGGAGAATGGCGTGAACCCGGGAGGCGGAGCTTGCAGTGAGCCGAGATCCCGCCACTGCACTCCAGCCTGGGCAACAGAGCGAGACTCCGTCTCAAAAAAAAAAAAAAAAAAAAAAAAAAAAAATGAAAACTGGCACAAGACAAGGATGCCCTCTCTCACCACTCCTATTCAACATAGTGTTGGAAGTTCTGGCCAGGGCAATCAGCCAAGAGAAAGAAATAAAGGATATTCAATTAGGAAAAGAGGAAGTCAAATGGTCCCTGTTTGCAGATGACATGATTGTATATTTAGAAAACCCCATCGTCTCAGCCCAAAATCTCCTGAAGCTGATAAGCAACTTCAGCAAATTCTCAGGATACAAAATCACAAGCATTCCTATACACCAATAACAGACAAACAGAGAGCCAAATCATGAGTGAACTCCCATTCACAATTGCTTTAAAGAGAATAAAATACCTAGGAATCCAACTTACAAGGGACAAGAAGGACCTCTTCAAGGACAACTACAAACCACTGCTCAACGAAATAAAAGAGGATACAAACAAATGGAAGAACATTCCATGCTCATGGATAGGAAGAATCAATATTGTGAAAATGGCCATACTGCCCAGGATAATTTATAGATTCAATGCCATCATCATCAAGCTACCGATGACTTTCTTCACAGAATTGGAAAAAACTACATTAAAATTCATATGGAATCAAAAAAGAGCCTGCATTGCCAAGACAATCCTAAGCCAAAAGAACAAAGCTGGAGGCATCACTCTACCTGACTTCAAACTATACTACAAGGCTACTGTAACCAAAACAGCATGGTACTGGTACCAAAACAGAGATGTAGACTAATGGAACAGAATAGAGCCCTCAGAAATAATATCACACATCTACAACCATCTGATCTTTGATAAACCTGACAAAAACAAGAAATGGGGAAAGGATTCCCTATTTAACAAATGGTGCTGGGAAAACTGGCTAGCCTTATGTAGAAAGCTGAAACTGGATCCCTTCCTTACACCTTATACAAAAATCAATTCAAGATGGATTAAAGACTTACATGTTAGACCTAAAACCATAAAAACCCTAGAAGAAAACCTAGACAATACCATTCAGGACATAGGCATGTGCAAGAACTTCATGACTAAAACACCAAAAGCAATGGCAACAAAAGCCAAAATTGACAAATGGGATCTAATTAAACTAAAGAGCTTCTGCACAGCAAAAGAAACTACCATCAGCATGAACAGGCAACCTACAGAATGGGAGAAAATTTTTGCAATCTACCCATCTAACAAAGGGCTAATATCCAGAATCTACGAAGAACTTAAACAAATTTACAAGAAAAAATCAAACAACCCCATCAAAAAGTGGGTGAAGGATATGAACAGACACTTCTCAAAAGAAGACATTTATGCAGCCAAAAAACACATGAAAAAATGCTCGTCATCACTAGCCATCGGAGAAATGCAAATCAAAACCACAATGAGATATCATCTCACACTAGTTAGAATGGCGACCATTAAAAAGTCAGGAAGCAACAGGTGCTGGAGAGGATGTGGAGAAATAGGAACACTTTTACATTGTTGGTGAGACTGTAAACTAGTTCAACCATTGTGGAAGACAGTGTGGTGATTCCTCAAGGATCTAGAACTAGAAATACCATTTGACCCAGCCATCTCATTACTGGGTATATACCCAAAGGATTATAAATCATGCTGCTATAAAGACACATGCACACGTATGTTTATTGAGGCACTATTCATAATACCAAAGACTTGGAACCAACCCAAATGTCCATCAATGACAGACTGGATTAAGAAAACATGGCATATATACACCACAGAATACTATGCAGCCATAAAAAAGGATGAGTTCATGTCCTTTGTAGGGACATGGATGAAGCTGGAATCCATCATTCTCAGCAAACTATCACAAGTACAGAAAATCAAACACTGCATGTTCTCACTCATAGGTGGGAATTGAACAATGAGAACACTTGGACACAGGGTGGGGAACATCACACACCAGGGCCTGTCATGGGGTGGAGGGAGCGGGGAGGGATAGCATTAGGAGATATACCTAATGTAAATGATGAGTTAACAGGTGCAGCACGCCAACATGGCACGTGTATACATATGTAACAAACCTGCACATTGTGCACATGTACCCTAGAACTTAAAGTATAATAATTTTTTTTAAAAAGCCCAGAAACAACAGATGCTGGAGAGGATGTGTAGAAATAGGAACACTTTTACACTGTTGGTGGGAGTGTAAATTAGTTCAACCATTGTGGAAGACGGTATGGCGATTCCTCAAGGATCTAGAACTAGAAATACCATTTGACCCAGCCGTCCCATTACTGGGTATATACCCAAAGGATTATAAATCATGCTACTATAAAGACACATGCACACGTATGCTTATTGTGGCACTATTCACAATACCAAAGACTTGGAACCAACCTAAATGTCCATCAATGATAGACTGGATTAAGAAAATGTGGCACATATACACCACGTAATACTATGCAGCCATAAAAAAGGGTAAGTTCATGTCTTTGCAGGGACGTGGATGAAGGTGGAAACCATCATTCTCAGCAAACTCTCACAAGGACAGAAAACCAAACACTGCACGTTCTCACTCATAGGTGGGAACTGAACAATGAGAACACTTGGACACAGGGCGGGGAACATCACCCACTGTGGCCTGTCGTGGGGTGAGGGGGCTGGGGGAGGGATAGCATTAGGAGAAATATCTAATGTAAATGATGAGTTAATGGGTGCAGCAGACCAACATGGCATATGTATACCTATGTAACAAACCTGCACATTGTGCACATGTACCCTAGAACTTAAAGTATAAAAAAAAAAAAACCTTAAAAAATAAATAAATAAATAACAAATGCTGGTGAGGATGTGGAGAAAAGAGAAACCTACAGTTTTGGTGGGAATGTAAATTAGCACACCCACTAGAGAGAACAGTTTGGAAGTTCCTCAAAATACTAAAGTAGAGCTACCATATTATCCAGCAATCGCACTGTTAGGTATATACTCCAAAAGAGGAAATCAGTATATCAAAGATATAGCTGCACTTCCATGTTAATTACAGTACTGTTCACAATAGCCAAGATTTGGAAGCAACCTAAGGGTCCATCAGCAGATGAATGGACAAAGAAAATGTGGTGCATATACACAATGGAATACTTTTCAGCCATAAAAAACAATGAGATACTGTACTTCGCAACAACATGCATGAAACTGGAGGACATTAAGTGGAATAAGCCAGGCGCAGAAAGACAAACTTCACGTATTCTCACTCATTTGTGGGAACTAAAATTAAAACAACTGAACTCAGGGAGATAGAGAGTACAGTGATGGTACTCCATAAATATATATACCTACTATGTACCCATAAATTTTGTTTAAATTTTAAGGAATAGATTCAGGAGAGAAGGGCCACTCATACTTAAAAGAATGTATTTAAAAGTAGAAAAATGTTTACATATCTAAGTCCAGCCACATTGACAGAGAGCTACTCTCTCTATTCAAGCCTTCTTGAAAGATCAAGAAAGCAGTAATGGTCCACAGGGTCTTTTCCAGTCTTTGAATTTGTAGTCCTGTAATGCTCTCTTCCTAGCAGCACTTGCTTGACTTGTTATTTACATCTTCTCTATAGAACCCTAGCCTTTCCATGGCCTGCCATGGCTGGCAATGTCCCAATTATCATCTAAAATGCATTTGAATACATGGCAACGAAGTCTACCACGAAAATCATGCATCAGTTCCCATGTTTGTTGCAGCACTGTTCACAGCAGGCAACATCTGAAAGTTAAGTGTCCATTAACAGATGAATGGATACATACATGGTACATACAATGGAGTACTATTCAGCCACAAAAAATAATAAGATCCTGTCATTTGCAACAAGATGGATGAAACGAGGTCATCATGTTAAGTGAAATAAAGACAAACCATATGTTCTCACTTATTTTGGGGATCTAAAAATCAAAACAATTGAACTCATGAAGGCAGAGAGTAGAAGGATGGTTATTAGAGGCTGGGAAGGAAAGTTGGGGTATGGGGAAGGTGGGGATGGTTAATGGGTACAGAAAAATAGAAAGAATGAATAAGACCTAGTATTTGATAGCACAACAGAGTATATTAGGCTATTATTGCATTGCTATAAATAAATATCTGAGACTGAGTAATTTATAAGAAAACAGGTTTAACAGGCTCACAGTTTCACAGGCTGTATAGGAAGCATGGTGGTATCTGCTTCTGGGGAGGCTTCAGCAAGGTTTCACTTACAGCAGAAGGTACAGCTAGAGCAAGCATCTTACATGTCATGAACAGGAGAGAGGAGAGAGGGGCTACACTTTTAAACTACCAGATCTCGTGAGAACTCACTCAGTATACAGTACCAAGGTGGGATGGTGCTAACCCATTCATGAAGGATCCACCCCCATGATCCAGTCACCTCCCATTAGGCCCCACCACCAATACTGGGGATTATAGTTCTGCATGAGATTTGGCCAGGGACACAGATTCAAACCATAAGACAGGGTGATTATAGTTAATAATAATTTAATAATTATTTTATTATAGTCAATAATAATTTAATTGTACAACTGAAAGTAACTAAAAGAGTATAATTGGATTGTTTGTGATACAGAGGATAAATACTTGAGAGGATGGACAACCCATTCTCCATGATGTGATTATGACACATTGCATGCCTGTATCAAAACATCTCATGAGAGATTACCATGGTGGATGGGAGGCAGGACTAGATTGCAGCTCCAGACAGAGCAGCGTGTGGAGGCTCGCATTGTGAACTGTAGCTCCAGATCGACTGCAAGAACAAAACAGCAATTCTGAGAAGACCCACAGGCCCTCTGAAGGAAGTGGACTGCTCCTGCAGGACCTGGGAGACACTTCAAATATTGTGAGTGCCTCAACTGCGGAAGTGCGAAAAGAAGACCCTCTTCCCCCAAACACACACCCCCGCTGGAGAAGCTGAAGGTCTGTTTGTGGGAGAAGTTTCTGACTTTACCTGGAGCTGAGTCAATTTAGAGAGCCAAGGGAAATACAGAGGTAGAGAAAGCAGCAGAAAGGCCCTGGGTGCTCACTGGGTCCCCAAGCAGCCCATTCCTGCCTGGCACCACAGGGATCCATCAGGAGGGTGGCTAGAGGAGCAGGGGGTAAAACTCCACGACGAGAAGGAAATCTTTGAACTTTGTAACAATTTGAATGGGGCGAGAACCTCCTGGCCAGAACTGGGCAGGAGTGGAAAGAATCTAGTGTGCAGACTCCACAGGTGGGGTAAGAACCAAGCCCTTTTCTTTCACAGCTGGGAGGCAGGAAGCCCGGGGCAAGTTTTCAAGTCTGTCTCACCCTCCACCTGGAAACAGACTCCGGGCGGTTTGAGGGGCGGGGCATGATGGGAGTGAGACCAGCCCTTCAGTTTGCATGGGAGCTGGGTGAGCCCTGTGACTACTGGCTTTCCCCTACTTCCCTAACAACCTGCATGACTCAGCAGAGGTAGCCTTAATCCTTATAGGTACACAACTCCAGTGACTTAGGAATCTCACCCCTATCCTCCACAGCAACCGCAGCAAGACCCACCCAAGGAGGGTCTGAGTTCAGACATGCCTAGCCCTGCCCCCACCTGATGGTCTTTCCCTATACACCCTGGTAATGGAAGACAAGGGGCATTTAATCTTTGGAGTTCTAGGTCCCCGCTCACCATCAGTCCCTCTCCACACTACCACAGCTGATGCTTTCTGGAAAGTGCCACTGCCTGGCAGGAGGCCAACCAGCATGAAACAGAGCATTAAACCACCAAAATTAAGGACCCTCATGGAGCCCATTGCACCGCCCCTGTGCTGCCACCTCCACTGGACAGGAGCTGGTATCCACAGCTAAGAGACCCATAAATGACTCACATCACAGGACTCTGTGCAAACAACCCCAGTACCAGCCCAGAGCCAGGTACACTCACTGGGTGGCTAGACCCAGAAGAGAGACAACAATCACAGCAGTTTGGCTCACAGGAAGCCACATCCATAAGAAAAGGGGGAGAGTACTACATCAAAGGAATACCCCGTGGGACAAAAGAATCTGAACAACAGCTGTCAGCCCTAGACCTTCTCTCTGACAGAGCCTACCCAAATGAGAAGGAACCAGAAAACCAACCATGGTAATATGACAAAACAAGGCTCTTTGACATACCCAAAAAATCGCTCTAGTTCACCAGCAATGGACCCAAACCAAGAAGAAATCTCTGATTTACCTAAAAAAGAATTCAGGAGATTAGTTATTAAGCTAATCAGGGAGGTATCAGAGAAAGGCAAAGCCCAAGGCAAGGAAATCCAAAAAATGATACAAGAAGTGAAGGGAGAAATATTCAAGGAAACAGATAGCTTTAAGAAAAAAAACAATCAAATATTCAGGAAACTTTGGACACACTTTTAGAAATGCAAACTACTCTGGAAAGTCTCAGCAACAGAATTCAACAAGTAGAAGAAAGAAATTCAGAGCTCAAAGACAAGGTCTTCAAATTAACTCAATCCAACAAAGACAAAGAAAAAAGAATAAGAAAATATAAACAAAGTCTCCAAGAAGTCTGGGATTATGTTAAATGACCAAACCAAAGAATAATCAGTGTTCCTGAGGAAGAAGAGAATTCTAAAAGCTTGGAAAACATATTTGGGGGAATAATCAAGGAATGCTTTCCTGGCCTTGCTAGAGACCTAGACTTGCAAATACAAGAAGCACAAAGAACACCTGGGAAATTCATCAGAAAAAGATCTTCTCCCAGGCACACTGTCATCAGGTTATCCAAAGTTAAGATGAAGGAAAGAAGCTTAAGAGCTGTGAGACAGAAGCACCAGGTAGCCTATAAAGGAAAACCTATCAGATTAACAGCAGATTTCTCAGCAGAAAACCTACAAGCTAGAAGGGATTGGGGCCCTATCTTCAGCCTCCTCAAACAAAATTTATCAGCCAAGAATTTTGTATCCAGCAAAACTAAGCATTATATATGAAGTAAAGATACAGTCATTTTCAGACAGACAAATGCTGAGAGAATTCGCCATTACCAAACTACCACTACAAGAATTGCTAAAAGGAGCTCTAAATCTTGAAACAAATCCTGGAAACACATCAAAACAGAATCTCTTTAAAGCGTAAATCACATGGGACCTATAAAACAAAAATACAAGTTAAAAAGCAAAAAAAAGTACACAGGCAACAAGAGCACGATGAATGCAACAGTATCTCACATTCCAATACTAACATTGAATGTAAATGGCCTAAATGCTCCACTTAAAAGATACAGAACTGCAGAATGGATAAGAAATCACAAACCAACTATCTGCTGCCTTCAGGAGACTCACCAAACACATAAAGACTCACATAAACTTAAAGGGGTAGAAAAAGGCATCTCATGCAAATGGACACCAAAAGCGAACAGAGGTAGCTATTCTTATATCAGACAAAACAAACCAAAGCAACAGCAGTTAAGAGACAAAGAGGGACATTATATAATGCTAAAAGTCCTTGTCCAATAGGAAAATATCACAATCCTAAACATATATACACCTAACACTGGAGTTCCCAAATTTATAAAACCATCACTAATAGACCTAAGAAATCAGACAGCAACACAATAATAGTGGGGGACTTCAATACTCCACTGACAGCACTAGACAGGTCATCAAGACAAAAAGTCAACAAAGAAACAATGGATTTGAACTGTATGTTGGAACAAATTGACTTAACAGATATATACAGAACATTTCATCCAACAACCAAGAATATACATTCTGTTCAACAGTGCATGGAACTTTCTCCAAGATAGACCATATGATAGGCCATAAAATGAGCATGAATAAATTCAAGAAAATTGAAATGACATCAAGTGCTCTCTTAGAACACAGTGGAATAAAACTGGAAATCAACTCCAAAAGGAACCTTTAAAATCATGCAAATACGTGGAAATTAAATAACCTGCTCCTGAATGAGCATTGGGTCAAAAATGAAATCAAGAAGGAAATTTAAAAATTCTTTGAGCTGAATGACAATAATGCCACCACCTATCAAACCCTCTGGGATACAGCAAAGGCGGTGCTAAGAGGAAAGTTTATAGCCCTAAACACCTACATGAAAAATACTGAAAGAGCACAAACTGACATTCTAAGGTCACACCTCAAGGAACTAGAGAAACAAGAACAAGCCAAATCCAAACCTAGCAGAAGAAAGGAAATAACCAAGATCAGAGCAGAATTAAATGAAATTAGAACAAAAAAAAACCCACAAAAGATAAATGAAACAAAAAGCTAGTTCTTTGAAAAGATAAATAAAATTAATAGACCAAAAGCAAGATTAACCAAGAAGAGAGAGAAAATCCAAATAACCTCGCTAAGAAACAAAATAGGGGATATCACAACTGACACCACTGAAATACAAAAGATCATTCAAGGCTACTATGAACAACGTTACTCACATAAACTAGAAAACCTAGAAGAGATGGATACATTCCCGGAAAAATAAACCCTCCTAGCTTAAATCAGGAAGAATTAGCTACCCTGAACAGACCAATAACAAGCAGTGAGATTAAAATGGTAATTTAAAAATTACCAACGAAAAAAGTCCAGGACCAGATAGATTCATGGCAGAATTCTACCAGACATTCAAAGAAGACTTGGTACCAATCTTTTTGACACTATTCCACAAGACAGAGACAGAAGGAACCCTCCCTAATTCATTCTATGAAGCCGGCATCACCCTAATACCAAAACCAGTAAAGGACATAACCAAAAAAGAAAACTACAGACCAATATCCTTGATGAACATAGATGCTAAAATCCTTATCAAAATACTAGCTAACCAAATCCAACAATGTATCAAAAATATAATCCACCATGATCAAGTGGGTTTCATACCAGGGATGCAGGGATGGTTTAACATACACAAGTCAGTAAATGTGATATACCACATAAACACAATTAAAAACAAAAATCACATGATCATCTCAATAGATGCAGAAAAAGCATTCGACAAAATCCAGCATTGCTTTATGATTAAAACTCTCAGCAAAATCATCATACAAGGGACTTACCTTAATGTAATAAAAGTCATCTATGACAAACCCACAGCCAACATAATACTGAATGGGGAAAAGTTGGAAACATTCCCTCTGAGAACTGGAACAAAACAAGGATGCCCACTCTTGCCACTCCTCTTCAACATAGTACTGGAAGTCCTAGCCAAGGCAACCAGACAAGAGAAAGAAATAAAAAGGCATCCAAATCAGTAAAGGGAAGTCAAAATGTCACTGTTTGCTGATGATATGATTGTTGACCTTGAAAACCCTAAGGACTCCTCCAGAAGCCTCCTAGAACTTATACAAGAATTCAACAAAGTTTTCAGATACAAGATTAACATACACAAATCAGTAGCTCTTTTATACACCAACAGCAACCAAGCAGAGAATCAAATCAAGAACTCAACCCCTTTTACAATAGCTGCAAAAAAAAATAAAATACTTAGGAACTGACTTAACCAAGGAGTTGAAAGTCCTCTAAAGAAATCATAGATGACACAAACAAATGGAAACACATCCCATGCTCATGGATGGGTAGAATCAATATTGTGAAAATGACCGTATTGCCAAAAGCAATCTACAAATTTAATGCAATCCCCATCAAAGTACCACCATCATTCTTCACAGAATTACAAAAAACAATTCTAAAATTCATATGGAACAAAAAAGAACCTGCATAGCCAAAACAAGACTAAGCAAAATGAACAAATCTGGAGGCATCACACTACCTGATTTCAAACTATACTATAAGGTCATAGTCACCAAAACAGTGTGGTGGTGGTGGTGGTATAAAAATAGACACATAAGACCAATGGAACAGAATAGAGAACCCAAAAATAAGCTCAAATACTTATAGCCAACTGATCTTTGACAAAGAAAACAAGAACATAAAGTGGGGAAAGGATACCCTTTTCAACAAATGGTGCTGGGATAATTGGCTAGCCACATGTAGGACAATGAAACTGAATCCTCATCTCCCAGCTTATACAAAAATCAACTCAAGAGGGATTAAGGACTTAAACCTAAGACCTGAAACTATAAAAATTCTAGAAGATAACATTGGAAAAACCCTTCTAGACATTGGCATAGGCAAGGATTTCATGACCAAGAACCCAAAAGCAGATGCAATAAAAACAAAGATAAATAGCTGGGACCTAATTAAACTAAAGAGCTTTTGCACAGCAAAAGGAAGAGTCAGCAGAGTAAACAGACAACCCACAGAGTGGGAGAAAATCTTCATAATCTATACATCTGACAAAGGACTAATATCCACAATCTACAAAGAACTCAAACAAATCAGTAAGAAAAAAACAAACAATCCCATCAAAAAGTGGGCTAAGGACAGGAACAGACAATTCTCAAAAGCAGATATATAAATGGCCAACAAACATATGAAAAAATGCTCAATATCACTAATGATCAGGGAAATGCAAATCAAAACCACAATGTGATAACACCTTACTCCTGCAAGAATTGCCATAATCAAAAAAAATAAAAAAACAGTAGATATGGGCGTGGATGCAGTGAACAGGGAACACTTCTACACTGCTGATGGGAATGTAAACTAGTACAGCCACTATGGAAAACAGTATAGAGATTCCTTAAAGAACTAAAAATAAAACTACCATTTGATCCAGGAATCCTACTACTGGGTATCTACCCAGAGGAAAAGAAGCCATATTTGAAAAGAATACTTGCACATGCATGTTTATAGCAGCACAATTCACAATTGCAAAATCACGGAACCAACCCAAATGCCCATCAATCTATGAGCACGGTGGCTCACGCCTATAATCCCAGCACTTCGGGAGGCCAAGGCAGGCAGATCACAAGGTCAGGAGATCTAGACCATCCTGGCTAACATAGTGAAACCCCATCTCTACTAAAAATACAAAAAATTAGCCAGGCATGGTGGTGGATGCCTGTAGTCCCAGCTACTCGGGAGGCTGAGGCAGGAGAATGGTGTGAACCTGGAAGGCGGAGCTTGCAGTGAGCCTAGATCACACCACTGCACTCCAGCCTGGGCAACAGAGTGAGACTCCGTCTCAAAAAAAAAAAAAAAAAAGGAAACTGTGGTGTGTATATATAAAATGGAATACTATGCAGCCATAAAAAGGGATGAATTAACAGCATTTGCAGTGACCTGGATGAGATTGGAGACTGTTGTTCTAAGAGAAGTAACTCAGGAATGGAAAATGAAACATTATATGTTCTCACTGATACGTGGGAGCTAAGCTGTGAGGACACAAAGGCATGAATGATACAATGTACTTTGGGGACTTGTGGGGAAGAGTGGGAGGAGGGCAAGGGATGAAAGACTACAAATATGGTGCAGTGTATACTGCTTGGGTGATGGGTGCGCCAAAATCTCACAAATCACCACTAAGTAACTTACTCATGTAACCAAATACCACCTGTACCCCAAAAACTTATGGAAAAATAAAAAATTTTTAAAAATTTCATGTACTCCATAAATATACATACCTACTCTGTACTCACAAAAAATTAAAAATATTTTAAAAATCATGCATCAGTCCTGGAGCACATCTTCCTAGAAACATACTGGTTCTGTTGTGGCCAAATACCCCATGCATATTAGGTCTTCAGATTCATCCTTATTTCCAGCTACATATAGAAAATGATGTTTTCTATTACACTGATCAGAAACAAATTTCCAGTTATTATGTTCTCCAAAACCTCAGTATTCTCAACAGTAAAATAAGATAACAAATCTATCTTACAGGGTTGTTGCAGAGGTGGGTTCTGGTTATGGTTGATGTGTTCTGTAAACTTTTAATTACTACATAGTTGTTAGTTGTTAACTGTTTCAGATCTCTGGAGTTTAATGTATAGTTAATGATACATAGGACTAAATTGCAAAATGATTTTCATCTCATTTTCACTGCAACTCATAAAAAATAGTAAATGATTAAGACATTAACCCAAAGAAATATATGATTTTTTTAAGGTGTGCACTTTTTTTCAACTGGTCTCAAGTCAGTGTACAGGTAAGCCCCTGGCTGCCCTCCGCCCACTCCCAGGGACACCAAAAGCTTTCATATATCTCAAGTTGGGGGCCAAAAAAGGGGGAGCCATGAAGGCTGATCATTTAAAATAAAACAAAATTTTAAAAGTGTTAAGGCAAAGATTTAAAAAATTGTGCTAGGCTGGGCGCAGTGGCTTACACTTATAATCCCAGCACTTCAGGAGGCCAAGGCGGGCGGATCACGAGGTCAGGAGATTGAGACCATCCTGGCTAACATGGTGAAACACTGTCTCTACTAAAAATACAAATAATAATAATAATAATAATAATAATAATAATAATAATTAGCCAGGCGTGGTGGTGGATGCCTGCAGTCCCAGCTACTCGGGAGGCTGAGGCAGGAGAATGGTGTGCACCCAGGAGGCGGAGCTTGCAGTGAGCCGAGATCACGCCACTGCACTCCAGCGTGGGCGACAGAAGAAGACTCTGTCTCAAAAAAAAAAAAATTGCATTACATAATTTACATGAAAGCAATGCTATCACCTCCCCTGTGTGGACTCAGGAGAGAACTGGGCCATTCTCCTTAGAGAGAAGTGGGGTGGCTTTTAGGAGGGCAAGGGGCTTCCTGTGACAATGCATCTCATGTTATTTGGAATTACTATTAAAAAAAGAACAAGAGCAATGTACAATCAAAGTCCTCGGCCACATTGTAGAACTTTGGAGGATGCTTGCTCAAACAGACTGCTGTCACCTTCACCGTTCCAGTTTTTAAATCTGAGTCAAGCCACAAAAAAAATAAAAATAAAAATAAAATAATAAAATAAAAAATAAAGCCATGCCAATCTCATCTTGTTCTCTGCACCAGTTAGGTTTTATCAAGAAAGGGTGTAACGCAATTAACAGTCTGCCTAGAAGCATTTGGAGGATGGAGGGGCCGACTCGTCATACCCCCGCTTGCTGGTCCATATCTGATCTGCTGGAAAGTGGACAGCGAGGCCAGGATGGAGCCAATCCACACAGAGTATTTGAGCTCGGGAGGAGCAATAATCTTGATTTTCATTGTGCTGGGCGCCAGGGCAGTGATCTCTTTCTGCATCCTGTCAGGGTTGCCAGGGTTCATGGTAGTACCGTCAGACAGCACTGGGTTGGCATACAGGTCTTTGTGGATGTCCACGTCACATTTCATGATGGAGTCGAAGGCAGTTTCGTGAATGCCACAGGATTCCATGCCCAGGAAGGAAGGCTGGAAGAGCACCTTGGGGCAGAGGAAACACTCGTTGCCGATGGTGATGACCTGGCAGTAGGGCAGCTCCTAGATCTTCTCCAGGGAGGAGCTGGAGGCTGCCGTGGCCATCTCCTGCTCGAAGTCCAGGGCGACGTAGCACAGCTTTTCCTTGATGTCATGCACAATCTCCTGCTCTGCCCTGGTAGTGAAGCTGTAGCCGCGCTGGGTGAGGATCTTCATGAGGTAGCCAGTCAGGTCCCAGCCGGCCAGGTCCAGATACAGGATGGCATGGGGGAGGGCATGCCCCTTGTACATGGGCACAGTGTGGGTGACCCCATCCACGGAGTCCATCATGATGCTAGTGGTACGGCCAGAGGCGTACAGGGACCACAAGGCCTGGATGGCCACGTATATGGCTGGGGTGTTGAAGGTCTCAAACATGATCTGGGTCATCTTCTTGCAGTTGGCCTTGTGGTTCATGGGGGCCTCAGTCAGCTGCACGGGTGCTCCTCAGGAGCCACACCCAGCTCATTGTAGAGCCAGATCTTCTCCATGTCATCCCAGGTGGTGACGATGTGTGCTCGATGGGGTACTTCAGGGTCAGGATGCCTCTCTTGCTCTGGGCCTTGCCGCCCCACGTACAAGTCCTTCTGACCCATGCCCACCATCACACCCTGGCGCCTAGGGAGCTCCACGATGGAGGGGGAAGATGGCCCAGGGGGACATTATCACCTGCAAAGCCGGCCTTGCACATGCCTGAGCCGTTGTCAATGACAAGTGGGGCGATATCATCATCCATGGTGAGCTGGCGGCGGGTGTGGACTGGGCGGCAGAGCGGCAAGGGCGGGGTTCTGTGCTCGCGGGTCAGATGTGGTATTGGCCAGAAATATACGATATTTTAACAGACAAAATTGGTATTCTGATGAGCTGGATGAAAAATATTCATAAAATTGTACACATTTAATGTACCACCTACATAAATACAAACAGAAATTCTAACCCTTTCATTGTAAATAATGGAATAAAGTAAACTAGGCTGCTAGTGAGAATCTAAATGGATGTGCTTCTTCCGGTCGATAATACCGTGTGAATGAAAAAGGCATTAATTTCACTGTTATATATTTGGAATGATACTGTACAGGCATTGTTTTAGAAGAAATCTATGTTCTAAAATGATCAAAGCTAGATAAAATGCAGAAGAGTGCTGTTGTTCAGGACACTAAGTTTGATAATCAGTTCACCTGGAGGGAAAACATTCTAGTTTTCACATCTTTGCAATATTTTACATCTATGCTCAAGAGAAGCCTGAGTGAAGGAAAAGATATGAACATTTTAGCAGCAAAATCCTTAAACTCATGGTAGAATAATAATGAGACTAGTTGGTTCAGAAGAAAATCAGAAGAAAAATTTGCAGTAAGGGTAAACAAAATGAATTCATATTTCACAAGAATATACTTATTTTAAGAGGAATAATACAGTTTGTAAGGAGAAAAATGTTAAAGGGAATACATATGTTTGTAAGGGGGTAAAAATATGTTGACAATGAAGTCAACTCTCTGGGTAACCTAAGCATTTGAGGACATCAGGGAATGCAATTCCTTAAAAGAAATTTTTGTTTAAGAAAGAGTTATCTATTAATGGAAGCTTTGTCTGAAAACATGGGGGCCAGGAATAGAGAAACAGAGAATGATTTTACTCTAGAAGAAAGCTGCAGATCTATGCACTGGTGATCTTTAACAAAGGATCTGTTTAGAAATGTAAATCTGTTTCCACTGCTCACAGGGCTTAATGTTTCCAGGCTTTCCAGCCATTCTCTTCCACAGAGGTCCTGGCATGACAGCATATACCGAGTGGGATGGCCATTAATGAGGAAATGTGGGACCGGGATAATAATCAATCCCAGCTGTCTTGTTATATGATCAAAGATAATTTTTAAAGCCCAAATGTTTTCCTTGATTTGGTGTTATGGCGATTGAGCTCATTTTTCAGTAGCTGAAAATGCATGACTGTATATTTACCCCTAAACACTTAAAAGGAAAACAGAAAGCCATATTTTTCCAGAGAAGCAGACTTGGCTTGGCTAGACTATAGATCACATTAAGTGGGGGCCATCAGGCAAATGGGCCCAGATTTGGGACAACAAATTCTGTCAATGGATTTGCTCCATTAGACTTGGATATAAACTACACCAAAATAATGAGATTTGGTTCCACATGAGAACAAAATTATGGAGCTACAAAAAAAAATTGCTTCTTCCCATTACAATCAACTACTAAAGGATTCTGCAAGTGAAATGCACTAAAATGAATTAGTTGTATAACTGTTACTCTTTCATTAAAATGATTTAATAGTTCTACAAATGTCATTGCATTAGCATTTTATGCAAAGCTATAAAACAGTAACAAGTAAAAAAAAAATTCAACTGCCTTTGAAAGTCAGCACTTTTGGACTATGTTCATGAGACTGCATGGTCACTTTGTAATATGAAATGGCAGCATCGCTAAGATAAATACCGCTTGCTGGCTAGTTTTATTTTGGGCAGGAGGCCATTAAAAGAATGAGGCAGCAGAATTCATCTTTCATTTGGATGTGCTTCAACCCCCCATTTACACTGACTAACTCATCCTAAGATGTCTCTTAGGAGAAGAGAAGCTTTTTGGAGTATTTCCTTAAGAAATTATCTAATGGCATGTTTTTTACAATGTTTGAGGGGAAGGTTAAACATTTTTACAATGTTTACAATGTTTAACCTTCTCCTGTCAGGGAAATCTAAAAACCTATTTACAGGCAGGTAATAGACAGGTAATATGTCATGGCAAAGCCCTAAAAGATCCATGTACAACATGGAGATTATGGTTAATAATAATGTATGGTATTTAGGATTTTTGCTAAATGTGTAAATTATAGAGGCTCTTGCCACAGAGGGGAAAAATGGGTAACTATGTGAGGGATGATGGATATGTTAATTCATTCCATTATAGTAATCATCTTACTACTATATATATACACATACTACATATAAAATATATAATATAATTTATAAATAAACACAATATACACAATAAAATTTATTTAATAAATAAATTCCTAACAAATGACTTTTCTAGAAAGACAAAGGGCACATTCACAGGTGCTGTTTCTGTTGACAACTCATCCCCAGTCCATCGGATCTCCAAATAAATATTAGATGTTTTCCATCCTCAGTAGTGTGTGATAGGTAGGTGATACTTTTATTTTTTGCTTATTGTTCCTTCCAAAACTGTTTCTTTAAACAAAATGTTGATAAGAATTAATAACACACAGGCAGGACAGTAACCCACAAGGTTCCACAGTTTAAATTATTCGTTGGACATTAGCCAATTGCTAGGGTTTAATGATAACAATTGCCTAGTGATACGGTTGGTATTCATATTAAAAGTAAACATTTGGATTGCCATGATTCTGATTATAAATGGATAAAATGTAAATGGCTAATATGCTGTCAGCAGTCCTTCAGGAGCTGATGCCGCATAAGAAATTGGTTAGCCAAAAAAAAAGGTCAGGGGAGTACAAAATAAGTCTTTTCTTTTCTGTTACCAGCCTTATTCCCACACGACCTAAGCTGCTTTTTGACTCATATGTTTAGTAGCATGCCATGCAGAGGAAATAGGATGCGGCTGTGGGAAACAATGAATTTGGAATATTAAGATCAGGGTTAAAATTCTGGCTTGACCTGAGGAAATTATATAGATCATCTGAAACTAGGAGGCTGGACTGGAAGGTGTGAGTATCCTGTTATCACAGACTAATGCAAGGCCACTACTAGCTAACTCAGCAATTGTCAACAGCCATCAGAGGGTACAGAAAAGCTTTTGTGTGACCCCTCAACATCTACCTAATTGAACTGATGTGAAAGTCTTGTCACAGTGAATTAGAAATGGACCATGTATGATCTAACTTCAATAATAAGCTAATTTCATTTATATCTTAAATGTCTAAATGAGATGTTAGTCTTATCACTTTTTAAATTCTATATTCTAATTACCATTACTAGCTCCCACCAATACCTCCGTTTCTTTATTATTAAAATGTCCCCAACTTCAAAGGCAGGCAAACTGAGGCAGGAAATGAAGATGTACTAAGTCAGTATCAGAATGAGAAGAAGCATTCATGAGGTTGGTCCTAACTACGGGGCCTTTGGCTATTACCAGATGCTTTCATGAGAAGTCCCATCATATGAATCTTTCCAACAGTTGTATGAAAATATTTAATTTTGCTGCCTATATCAGAAAAAAAGCAAGTATTGATTAAGCTTGTAGTCAATGTCTAAATGTCTATTGCAGACTTGGGGATTTAGAAGGTTGTATGTAGATAGCATAATCTCTGACCTCAAGAAGTTTACAGTCAGATTAGGAAGGTAAATATATTAATGAAAAGTCAGCAAAGTATATGCAATGATTCTCAAAATATAGTTTGTAAGAGTTACCCGGGAAGCTTGTTAAAGATGCAGATTCCCAGGCTCTGCATCTAGATCCATAGATTCTAAGACAGTAGATCTGGGTGGGTTCAGTAATCTGCATTTTTTTTTGTTTTGTTTTTTTTGTTTTTTGGTTTTTTTGGGGTTTTTTTTTGAGACAGTCTCGCACTGTCTCCCGGGCTGGAGTGCAATGGCGCGATCTTGGCTCACTGCAACCTCTGTCTCCCGAGTTCAAGCGTTTCTTCTGCCTCAGCCTCCCAAGTAACTGGGATTACAGGCACCAGCCACCACACCTGGCTAATTTTTTGTATTTTTAGAAAAGATGGGGTTGCACTATGTTGGCCAGGCTGGTCTCCAACTGCTGACCTCATGATCTACCCATCTCAGCCTCCCAAAGTGCTGGGATTACAGATGAGAGCCACTGCGCCAGGCCAGTAATCTGCATTTTTAACAGTATCCATGTTGGTGATTCTAATGTACATGGTCAGAAGACCACACATTCAGAAATGCCAGTGGATAATAGCTCAGGCTCTAGGATCTAATGGTCTGGGTTTACCCAGATCCACTACTTGCCAGCTGTGGGGCCTTTATTAAGCTACTAAAGTCCTCTGGATTGCAATGTTCTTATCTATAAAATAAAGATAATAATAGTACATGCATGTCCGGTGGTTATAACATTGGTACTCAGTAAGCACTTAGTGAAAACTGCTGTTTGTTGTTATTAATGTTATTGAAACACTAGAAACTGACCAAGTGCTAATTGCCCTGACATTGCTCCTAGAATTTAATGAATAAAAAGAGAGTTCTGGGTGAGGGTAGGGAAAGCTTTAAGGAGGAAGAAAAGTTAAGCTAAGCTTTAAAAAACAATGAAAAGTTCATATTATCAAAGAAAAGAAGAAACTCTGGGTGAAGGGGACATAACAAGCAAATTATCAAAGAAGGGGAGAATGAGCTCAATGCAAGAAATGTCACAAAAGCAGAGGGTTGAGTAGGGGAAAAGTGGGAAATAAGTGGCCAGAAGACCCAAGGCCCAACAAACCTGGCTCTCCCTTCCGTTGTTTGAAACACCTGTTTTAAGAAGCAGCTACACTAGCTATAAAGCCCCACATTAAGAAACAGGATACAAAAAGAGTAAACTTACAGTGCTCTTCTTATGGCAAAAGTAATCCTTTCTTTACAAAATAATTAACCAGAACTTTAATTCATGGACTGGGTGAGCACACTTAAAACACATTTCGATTTACTAAAGATAAATAATTCAAGCCTTCAATAAAAAGGACTGTGAGTTTTTTGAAAGCAAGGGATTATCTTACTCATTACAGGAATCCCAAACTCTAGCAGTGCTAGGAACATGAAAATAGCTTTATAAACAAATGGTTACCCAGTTAAACAGTCATATATGTTGTTATGACATAGAATGAGATATCTGTGAAAAAAAGTTTCTTTCTTTTTGAGAACTGCCACATCCAGTTATTATTCATATTCCTAGGTAAAACTATGGCTTTGAAAATCTAGCCAGATTTTCATTTATACTGTATTAGTGGTAATAAATTTAATTAAATATTGTACATGTCAATAATCAAACTGGATAATTCAATCGAAAACACACTGAACTCTAATCTGACTTATAGTTATCTGAGTAACTTCATTAAATTCATAATGTGATGGTTGATGAGAATAGCATAATGCACCGAGGCACTAAAAACCTATCTTGTTCCTCTTCTCTCCTCTCCTCTATTGATAGGGATCCTTATAGGTTAACTGACAGTTGCAACGTGATCTTCCAGGAAATAAGTACATCTCTGAACCTTCAGAATAGCCGTATCCCAAACTGGTTCCCATTGCCATGAATTTCTTTTCTGACTTAGCATATTTCAATTTCTCTTTCTTAACCTTGGGAAGTAGTATTAAAGGAACATATGGGAGAGTTCACTCTTTTCCTTTGACTCACCAAATGTTATCTTCAAAATTAAGTCATGACCATAAGGCATTCAAAACATAGGGGTCAGAAGTTCACGAGGCTATCCACATCCCACAGACAGAGCAGCTGTGTTGATCACCTAGAAAGTACAAACTAAATGTGGATCATGGGATTATATTGCTGAGGAATCAGAAATCTAGGCAAGGAGAAATGTCCACATTGGTCATTCAAACAATCATTACAGTAGAAAAGATTTGCCTTTAAAACCACCAGAAAATAGAGATTTATCGAAAGTGAACATTTTATATAACTGTGTGAAAATATTGCACTAATAGAATTTGTGATCTTTGAGGAACTAGAAATTGTGTCTTTGCTCCCACTGCCATTCGCCTCCTATTTCTGTGAAACTGGGAATAAAATGACCAACTTAAGCTTCACTTTACAAATATGATTCCGGTTAATGTCCCAAGGGGAGCTATCAGCATGTCTCTTCCAATTGCCTCCTAGGGAACAAGAGAGAAATATTTGGCCTATTAAAAACAACGGATGCATTCACTTCTGTACTGGCCTGACGGGGACCCTGTGCTTCCGTTTACAACTGCCAGGTTCATTCAGCTCTTTGATTACCTTCTATCAGTGCATTCACAACCAATTCAAGCCAATAGTGGGAGATAATTAAATCCATGGAAACAGAAGCAGTTTTTATGGTCACACCTGCTTAATGCCCCTCAGTCTATTTTCACTCACATGTAATTAATAGGGTTCTCTGTCAGCAACTCAGACTTCCAGCAACACAGAGGATGGTAGTGAGAGCTCTGGGTATTGCCTTAGAATGAGCAGCCCGGTCTGAGTTTGTATTCCAGCTGACACACTTATTGCTCCAGCTGATACACTTAGTTGTGCGACCTTCAGCATATTTAATCTGTCTGAGCCTCAGTTTTCCTGTCTATAACAAAGGTAATAATACACACATCATGAGAACATTGATATAAAGAACCTAACACGTGGCATGTACTCAACTAACATCAGTCCATTTACAAACATTGCTCAAAAATATGTTAGAATAACTATAACTTTGATTATATGGGACTTAAAGAATGGAAATGAAAACCAGGCAATAATGGGTTCAGAATTGTTTTAGTTTTACACAAACCAATGTGTCCCATAAGTTCAAATGGTAATTAGTTGCAACAAACTGGTTTCCAGTAGGTATAAATATGCCCTTATAAAGAAATACTGTATGATTCCATTTATATGAGGCATCTAAAATAGTCAAACTCATAAAAGCAGAAAGTAGAATGGTGGCTTTTGGCGGATGGAAGAGGGGGAAAAAAGGAGGAGTTGTTGTTCAATGGGTATAGAGCTTCAGTCATGCAAGATGAATGTGTCCTAGAGTTATGCAGATGTACAGCATGGTGCCTATAGTTAACAATACTGTATTGTGCGCCTAATTTTGTTAAGAGGGTAGGTCTCATGTTAAGTATTCTTACCATGAAAAAAAGGGGCATGGATATGTTTATTATCTTGACGGTGGTAATAGTTTCACAGGTGTATGCATATGTACAAACTTATTAAATTGTATACATCAAATATGTGCAGCTTTCTGGGTATCAGTTACACTTCAATAAAGCTGTGTTTTTAAAAAAAAAAAAGAAAGAAGAAAGAAACACTTAGAAAGCCTTTACACAGCAGCTGCTCTCTATCCCAATAACAAAGTACATTATGGTAACCAGAAAGCTCTGCAGTCAGCACTTGCTGTTTATCTCACTATAAAGAGCCTACTCGCCTTACCCAATTTTTCCTTCAAGACTCAGCTTGGACATCTCCTTCTCCAGGAAACCCCCGCTCAAGTGCCCTCTCTCATGTGCTCTTAGTGCCCTGTTCACACCTTTACATTTTCTTTCTTGTAGTTTAACTTCCTCTCTAGAACCATGTCTTCTCCTTGTATCCCCAGCACCTACCAAGTGCCGTGTCTGGCACCAGCAAGTACCCAATAATAACTGTCAATTGACAGAATAGACACTGGCCTCAGAGTCAGGGAGATGGAATCAAATTCTGACTCTACCACTTACCTGTTTGCCTTTTCTAATACTGTGACTCCATATGCCCACATTAGCCATGCTCTCTCGTACCACAGAATAAACGTAAAGATGAAACAATACCACAAAAGGAGTTACATCTGCCTTTGTATTAACAGTCTCTGCCAGCTGCTTTTCAACATAGGTAAGGGCAGAGTAGTACCTTGAACAAGATATTTTTTCTTCAAAGAATCACTTGAGTGTTCTCTCTTTTGAAGAATGAGCATGGACTTTTTCTCTGGCAGAAGATTACAATAGGAATATTTGTGCCTTGCCACGTCAGACCCAACACAATATCCACTGGCAAGCAGAGTCCATGTCTGCTGAAGAAAGTGGACCAATCTGCATATTGTATATTGCAGGAGAGAAGGATCTGATCCTGCAAACCCTGTTCCCTCATGGGAGAACCATGAGGGTAGACGAGGGTGGCCCAGAAGAAGGCCCAGAGTAAAGAAAGGCAAGGCCTCTGGAATAAAATTAACTGTGGAAAGGTATAATCTAGGCTAGTGACCGGGGCTCAACAGGCCTGAGACTTGGGAGTCAGGAGGCCTGGTAACAGCACAATGCATACTGATACTAGAAGCCTCTTGGGACTCAGTCATCCTAGCACAGTGTTGTTAGGACATGTTTAAGAATGGACTATGGGAATAATGATCTCGAGCTCAACTTTGAGATTCCACAGTGGTCTGCACAGGAACTTGAACATTCAACATATTGCAAAGGGAATCATCTATGGGACCCAGTTTCAACAGCAGTGACATGAGCTAATATGAAGCAGTGATCAGGGTTCCCACTTCCCTCTAATTATGGTATTATTAATAGAAGGAGAAATAATCCTCCCCTAAATTTGGACAGAGTAAAGCTTTGGAGTTCTTGGGAATTTTTAAGTAGGGGTAAAGGTCTTAAGGCAACCACTGGATATCTTCCTACCAGGATACCTTGGGTTTTAAACAATTAATTTGACAATATTAAGGTGACGGGATCATATTTGTACCCCAAATGAATGAAGTAAATGGTATCGGTTATGCTGATGCAACAGTAGGATCCACACAGCCCCACACAGGATCCACACAGAAAGAGCAAGCACTGACCTGTTGGAGAAGCCAGCGCTGGTAAGAAACAGACATCAGGCTCTCAGCAGCATGGAACTGCCACCTCTGACCCCAAACATTTAGTTTATGATCTTCTTTTTTAGATTTCCAGATAAAGAAATCTTGTCATGTCCCATTCCCAGTGCCAATTTAAAAGGTAAAAGCAAAATTTTAGGTAAGAATAATGGGTGACATCTTCAACCAAGAAACATCGAGGTATTTCAAACCATTATGCAAAGGCAATTAGATAGGAGAAGAGCGGGCTGTTCCCATGACTTCTCTCATGTGTTGGACAAATGTACCTAAGAAATCAGCTCATGTTGCCATGCTGACCAAGTATAGGAGCACTGCCATCACTAGCCCATTTTAAGAACAACCCTGCCACACCAGGAAAAGTAGCATTGCCCTTGTTGAAGTCTGATTGCCTCAAGAAATATGGAAGTAAATTCTGATTCTACTTCCCAGCCTTTACCCACTAGCATGCTAGATCTCTAGACTAATTGGTAAGTCAAAGTCTCCTGGCAACCTAACCTTTTCCTTTTCTCTTTCTTCTTCCTATGTGCCTGAAATAAACAAAAATCCACATTCCTCCCATCAGACCCATTTCAACTACCAATAGAGAAATTGATGTCACTCTGTAAGATGAGTAAACAGGAAAAAAAATCACTAAACATGTAAAGCACTAAAGCAAATCAAATAAGGGGAAACCTGAAGAACTGGGACAAATGCACCCCTCTGAAACAAGTTGGGGCTGCATATGGTGGCTCATACCTGTAATCCCAGCACTTTCAGAGTCCAAAGTAGGAGGATTGCTTGAACCCAGAAGTTATCAGCCTGGGAAACATAGTGAGAACCCATTTCTCCAAAAAAATAAAAATTAGCTGGGTGTGGTGGCTCACACCTGTACTCCCAGCTACTCAGGAGGCTGAGGTGGGAGAATCGCTTCAGACTGAGAGGTCAAGGCTGCAGTGAGCCGTGATCACACAACTGCACTCCAGCCTGGGTGCCAGCGTGAGGTCCTGTCTCAAAAAAAAAGAAAAAAAGAAAAAGAAAAAGAAAAGCTAGTGATCAGTAAAATGTAGTCTCCAAAGTTAACATACACATTAAAATTTAATACAAGTTTCAAATTATCATTATATTACTTAACATAAAAATAATAATTTTCTAACCTTAATTCAAACTGCCAATGTACAACAAAAAGTGGCAAGTGGGGAAAGCAGTGAAAAAGTCAAGTTATACCAAATTTCTCATTTTCCAGTCAGAAGTGGGCTGAAGTCAGCTCCTACTGACTCAGAAGAGCCAATGTTGCTCTTCTATTGCCAACTCCAAGTTCAGAGTCATTGTGTTGATAGCTTGAAATCTGCCTCAGAGGAAGAATTTACACCATGGAAATCAGCCAATGCTACAGATAAGGCTTTTGTTTATATTCCAGAAAGCCACTACTCTCCTCCAGCATATACTCAGTAGTTACGTGTGTGTGTGTGTGTTGGTGGGGGGGGGTAGTGGTGGTGATAAAATATGGGGTAGTGGTGGTGATAAAATATGCCTAACATAAAATTTGCCATTTCAAGCATGCAATCCAATGGTATTAAGTACATTCACAATGTTGTGTAACCATCAACATTATACATTTCCAGAACTTTTTCATCATCCCAAACAGAAACTCTGTACTCCCTATAACTCCTCTTCTTCTGCTCCACTCAATGCCTGGTAACCACTGTTCTTTCTGTCTCTGTGAATTTGCCTATTATCATACCTCACATAAGTGGAATCATACATTATCTGTCCTTTTGCATCTGACTTACTTCTCTTGGCATCATGTTTTCAAGGTTCATCTGCGTTGTAGCATGTATCAGAATTGTCTTCATTTTTAAGAATGAATAGTATTCCATTGTTTGTATGGGCCACATTTTGTGTAGCCATTCATCCACTGATGGAAGTAGATACTTTTTAATATTTGTTAATAAATAGAAAAATATGTTTAAATAATTTTACTACCTACATGAGTGAGCAAAGATAAGAACAAACTCTGAACTTCCTGCTGATAAGACCTCCGTATTCTCAGTTACTTAGAAAATAAAAGAAAATATTGTAACCCACTATCAGTGAAATGGGTCATACTCTTATCACTGACATGGTCAAGGACTCCCAGCATCTTGTGCTGGAAGCCCTCATCAAGTGTCTTGGCACAGGAGTTAATAAATTAAGAAACACAGACACATTGAGCACCCATTCAATTCCATGAACTGTGCTGGGTACCGTCACATACATCATCTCATTAGTTCTTATGAAATAGATATTCTCCATATTAAAAACCTGTATGCACTGTTTAAGCCACTGTGTACGTCAATATTTAAACCCTTTAATGATACCAACGAACTGGCTATTCCCTGTTAACTTATCTAGTCTACGTTGCAGTTCTTTCTACTATGAGAACGTAAAAAAAGAAATCATGCCCTCAGAGGTATGTTGATGAGAATAGAAGAGATTTTCAAGCTATTTCTGCAAGCACAGTGATATGGTTTGGCTCTGTATCTCCACCCAAATTTCATCTCGAATTGTCATCCCCACATGTTGAGGTTGGGAGGTGATTAGATCATGGAAGCCATCTTCCCCATGCTGCTCTCAAGATAGTGAATGAGTTCTCATAAGAGCTGATGGTTTTAAACTGTGGCACTTCCTCACTCTTTCACTCTCTCTCCCGATGTCATGTAAGATACGACTTGCTTCCCCTTCACTTTCCACCATGATTGTAAGTTTCCTGAGGCCTCCCCAGCCATGCAGAACTGGGAGTCAATTAAACCTCTTCTTTTTATAAATTACCCAGTCTTAGGTAGTTCTTTACAGCAGTGTGAAAACGGACTAATACATTCAGGCTATTTGCACTCATTTCACAATACAGAGGAAGAAAGACACTGTTTCTGATAAGGAAAAAGGCTTAGATGGTCCAGTAACTTACCAATCCAGTCAAAAGGCAAGAACCCAGTTTAAAAGACATGAAATAAAAGTTAATTCAACTAGGAAATGGATATGCAGTATCTAAAGGCTCAGACTACCAGATGTACTAAAAGTTGTGAACAGTAATCAACTATCATGGTACTGCATTATTTCCTTCTAGCCATGCAGCTGCTTGCTGTTCTTATAGCCATGGAGCTATGATTTCCTTATGCCCATGGAGTTGCCTGGTTTCCTCAGCCCATGGTGCTGCATAGTTTCCTCATAACCATGGTGCCCCATGGTCCCCTCATGACCATGGAGCTGCATGGATTCCTCATTGTCATGATGCTCCATGGTTCCTGATGTACGTGGTGCTGCTTGGTTTCCTTATGCCCATGGAGCTTCATGGTTTTCTCATGGACATAGAGCTGCATGGTTTCCACATCCCCATGGAGCTGCATAATTTCCTCATGCCTATGAAGCTGCATAGTTCTCTTATGGACACATAGCTGCATGGTTCCCTCATGCCCATGATACTACATGGTGTCCTCATGCCCATGGAGCTGCATGGTTCCCTCATGCCCATGGAGCCGCATGGTTCCCTCATGCCCATGGAGCCACGTGGTTTCCTCATGGTCGTGGTGCCACATTGTTTCCTCATGGCTATGGAGCTGCATGGTTCCTTCATGCACATGTAGCGTCGTGGTTCTCTTATGCCCACAGAGCTGCATAGTTTCCTCAGGCACATGGAGCTACCCAGTTTCCTCATGCACATGGTGCCACATGATTTTCTCAAGCTCAAGAGGCTGCATGGTTCCCCCATGCCCATATTGTTGCATGGTTTCCTCATGCCCTTGGAGCTGCATACTACCTCATGCACATGAAGCTGCATGGCTCCTCATGGCCCTGTAGCTGCATGATTCCCTTATGGCCATGGAGCTGCATGGTTCCTCATGCCCATGGAGCCTCATGGTTCCCTCATGGCCATCATACTGCATGGCTTCTTCATGCCCATAGAGCTGCATGGTTCCTTTAAGGTCATGATCCAGCATCATTCCCTCATGCCCGTGGCCATGATGAGGTACAGGGAATTTTTGCTTCATGAATGTGCCTAGTTAAGGATAGGGGATAGAGAGGGGCATGTGTGTCCTGGAGGAATATAGATAGACCTTACACTGCAAATATTCCCCTAATTTTGCTCTTCTGTCTTTCAAAGCAAACAAGCCAAAAAGATGGAGGGCATGGTTCTCAACATTGGCTACATATTAGAATCACCAGTGCTGCTCTTAAAAAGCACTATTCCCCGACCCAGCCAAGACCAATTGCAGCAGAATCTATGGTGGCATTGCCAGGATTGAAAGCAAGTAGCATAAAGGCATAACTTACAGTAAGGGACTGAAAACTTGCATGTCTGCATCAGATATGAAGGGGCTACTACCTCTTCTGTAGCCTCTCTTGTGACTCTCATTCCAGGGAGTAAAAGGGGAGGAAACTAACAATACATGAAAAGACACATAAATGTTTCATAAACTAAGCATCGAAATGAGAAGCAACGTAATGCAGGCAACTCCAAGAACACCTCTTCGACCAACATTAAACCAGTGACTTAAATCTGCCATGGAAATTGGCTAAATCTTCCACTGGTTTCACTTCTTCCACTCAGTTGTTTCTGCTACTTTTGACTTTGTTTTCTCTCTTGAGGGGATCCCTGTGGATTGTGCCAGACAGGCTTATTCTGGCTGACTCACTGCTGTTCAGAGACTTTCTAAGATTATCCCGCCTCAGTGGAATTATTCAGGGGGTTCCCAGTCCTTTCAGAGATAGCAAACCAATAAAATATTGGAATATATTATCAGGAGGCTGCTATAACATTACAATTATTAATACATTATCTTCCCACAAATAGGTCACAGGCACAAAAGCTTTGAATAGCCTGGGGCATTACTGAACTTGATTTTAGCTGGATGCCAATGCCAATGAGCAAATTTTTTTTCACTTCTCAAAATAAATGTACAGCCCAGTTTACTTAAAGAGTGAAAGATTAAAAATACCTCCTAGTTTGAGTACTGCATTCTCCTTGAGAATATAGAAAAGGAAAGTGAACTAGCAACTATTGGATACCATGTGAACTCCCTCTTGAAAAACAGAAGCTGCCATGGGAAGCTTTGGTGAAACCTGGGCCAGCTGCGTGGTGCCATTTACCATTGAGGTGCTACTAGATGAGGCATCTGTTATGGGTTGAATTGTACCCCCCAAAAAATGTTGAAGTCTTGTCCCCTAGTATCTGTGAATATATTATATTCACAGCTGGAATTATAGGCATGCGCCTATAATCCCAGCTACTCAGGAGGCTGAGGCAGGAGAATCGCTTGAACCCGGGAGGCAGAGGTTGCAGTGAGCCAAGATCACACCATTGCACTTGTTTAGAAATATGTTCTTTAAGATGATCAAATTAAGGTGAAGTCATTAGGGTGAGCCCTAATCTAATATGACTGGAGTTCTTATGAAAAGGAGACATTTGGACACAAAGACACTTACAAAGGGAAGACAATGTGAAGTCACGGGGTAAATATCTACATGCTGAGGAATGCCAGAAGCTAGCGGAGAGGCCTGGAGATGCCTCCCTCACAGCCCTCAGAAGGAACCAACCCTGTTGACACCCTAATTTCAGACTTCTAGCCACTAGAAAAGTGAGACAACAAGTGTCTGATGCGTAAACCACCCAGTTTGTTGTACTTTGTTATGGCAGCCCTAGGAAAGTAATACAGCATCCAAAAAAAAGTATTGGTTTAAAACCTAGTGAACAATTCAAAACCAAACCACAAATCCAGAGCCCTAGGTAAAAACAGGCATTCAGGGTATCATGCCAAAGAAGGCAGGTACCAGAAAGAGCTGACTAGAGAAAGTTAGAATGCTAGGGGCTGGGGTGGGATCAGGGGAGGGACCAGTGGTAAAGAAATCTCAAAGACAAAGAGGAAATAAGCTCACTTCATAAACACAGATTCAGCACCTACTGTGGGCTAGGCAGTTTCCTAGGTGCTGGGGATACAAAGGTGAGTAAGTCATACCCTGCCCACAAGGAGTCATGTGTCATCTGCCCCATTAGACTGTTGTTGATATCCTATGCCAAGATAGCAGCAAGCAGAGTAGTTTGAGGGCATAAAGGGATGGAAGATACTCACATAGCAATGTGGGTGCTTGGGGAAGACTTCCTGGATAATAGGATATCTAGACTCAATCTTGAAGAATGATATATTGGCAGGGTGGACAAAAAGAGGTCTATTTTCATAAAGAACCCAGGGGCCTCTCAGTACTGTGTTGAGGGTATCTAGGAGGATGTGATTCTTTTTAAAAAGAGAAGAGGTGGCCAGGTGCGGTGGCTCACACCTGTAATCCCAGCACTTTGGGAGGCCAAGATGGGTGGATCACCTGAGGTCAGGAGTTGGAGACCAGCCCGGCCAACACGGTGAAACCCTGTCTCTACTAAAAATACAAAAATTAGCTGGATGTGGAGGCATGCGCCTCTAATCTCAGCTACTCAGGAGGCTGAGGCAGGAGAATCACTTGAACCTGGGAGGCAGAGGTTGCAGTGAGCCAAGATCACACCACTGCACTCCAGCCTGGGCGACAGAGCAAAACTCCATCTCAAAAAAAAAAAAAAGGAAGAGGCATACCTTCACACACACACACATGCACACACACACACACACACATTCTCTCTCTCTCACACACACACACACACACACTTGCACATAAACCACCACAGGTTTGGCACCTCCAGAGCTGGAGAGCATCCACAGAAATAACCAGCAGAAGCAACAGCCACCTTACAGAGCAGAGGGGACCGTGGCCAGTGGGAGTAACTGACCCCTGTATATGGGCACCTGAGATCAGGAGAAAGGGAATAAAACCATGCACACCATGTGGAAACTGGTCGTACTTCTTCGTCATACACATGACATGCTCTGCACTGCTGCTGCCTTTGAGAACTATCAGAAAAACATAGAGAGGACTTTGCAGGGGTTCATGACAGCAAGTGGGAGCAGAGCCAGATAAATCAGAATAAAAACTTAAATAATGCGATCTCATAGTGTTGTTGTAAGAAATCAAGCACAAATAGAGCAACTGGGATATACCACCCCCAGCTCCATCTATCAATGTTTGGCCCAGCCTGCATTTGCATTTACTTTATCATCTTGTGTTAATTTGTCATCATTATCACTTACCCATATTCATTTCTTGAAAGCAACCTATTTCGGGAATGATGGTTTCTTACCACAAATGAGGCTGCTTTAATGACTTCAGTGAGTGGCAATCTAATGGGATCACTGCGGCTGCGAGCCTGAGCACAGACAAGCTCGGCAGCAGCCTCCTTTGTGCAGCAGCGCTCTGTAATTGGGTCTAATGGAGGAGTTGAAGGTTTTCTCTTTCTGCCTTCCTAATGATATTAACGTCTTCATGAGGTTAATGAAACTGCTAACCCCGGGCCAACGTGAATCGCTTCCTGTATAATATAAAAACTTTCTATTTGGAGTCTTAACGCAAGCACTAAGGATTACTATTGTTGTGATAGCTGTGTCTGTTATTGTGTATAACAGGTTTTTCCTTCTTTTCTATTCCAAGAGCCAGAATCAGAGACTACCAAGGACCTGATCGAATTCAGATTCCAGACAGTGGTGGAGGATCCCAGAGGCAGTTGGTTAAGGAGATCCTCCTGGTTGGGTCAGATCCTTTATGGTCTCTACTGCCCCCTGCTGGCCTAGGGAAGGAGGAGCGGCTCTCCAGCAACCCTTGGGAGATGGAAAGTACCAGAAGACAAAATATGAAGAAATATTCTTTATTATCACTGACTATATGCTTTTCTGTTTAATACTTACAAATTCCTATAGGGTAGGTCTTGCTACTGTCATTTCATGTATGAAGAAACCTATCCTCTAGTGGTAAGCCAACGTACCTAGAGTTGCTAGGGTGTGGGAGCGTCAGATCCAGGACAAAGTACAAGTCGGTCTGGTTTGCCACTGTTGTTTGAAGACATGGTACGGTGAAAAATGCATGTACTTTAACACCAGAGCAACTTGTGTTTTCACCTTAATTCCCTAATGTAAGAGCTATACAATGATAAAACAAGTTACTTAAAAGAGCTAAGCTCCGTTTCATCTACAAAACATGAATTATCATATCTATCTTGAAGGACTGTTGTGGGGGTTAATAACAAGGAAGGCAAAGCACAGGGCCTAGAATACAGTGGCTGCACAGTAGATGGAGGGTGGTATTGGGGCCAGAGACAGAGGGTGGAAAAGGGTAGGCCTTCCTGTGGATCTAGTGGCTCAATGGTTGCTTTATTCAGGTCCCCAGGAGGTTTTAACTCAAAGTCTGGGCTCAAAAAATATACTAGAATGCTCAGCTAATGATGCCAGCACATCTGAATAGCTCTTTATCACTTATAAACCAATTTTGTGTATATTTTATTTGATCTTCACAAATATGTACCTGTAGATGCATAAATATGCCACAGTTAGTTGAGGAAACACACAATATGCCCAGTATTATACTAAGCACATAAAATAATGGCTGGATTTCATCTTCATAACAACCCTATAAGTATTATTATTTTCTCCATTGTCTAGATGAGGAAACTGAGCCTCAGAAAGATTAAGGAAATTTCCCAGAGTCACACTGTATTAAGTTGCAGAGCTAAGACTTGAACACTGGCCCATATGACTACAGAAATCATTTCTCTCAACCATTGGGCTACACTGCCTTTTTCTGAAGAAGGGAGACAAGTATTACATTTTCACTATATAGACAAGGATATTCTGACTCGTGTAATAGTGATATGGTTTGGCTCTGTGTCCCCACCCAAATCTCATCTTGTAGCTCCCATAATTCCCACTTGTTGTGGGAAGGACCCAGTGGGAGATGATTGAATCATGGGGGTAGGTCTTTTCAATGCTGTTCTCGTGAGAGTGAGTGGGTCTCACGAGTTCTGATGGTTTTTAAAATGGGAGTTTCTCTGCTCTCTTTTTGCCTGCTGCCATCCATGTAAGATGTGACTTGCTCATCCTTCTGCCATGATTGTGAGGCCTCCCCAGCCATGTGGAACTGGAAGTCCAATAAACCTCTTTCTTTTGTAAATTGCCCAATCTCAGGTATGACTTTATCAGGAGCATGAAAACAGACTAACACAATAAATTGGTACCAGTAGAGTGGGACACTGCTGAAAAGATACCCAAAAATGTGGAAGCAACCTTGAAACTAAGTAACAGGCAGAGGTTGGAACAGTTTGGAGGGCTCAGAAGAAGAGGAAAATGTGAGAAAGTTTGGAACTCCCTAGAGACTTGTTGAATGGCTTTTACCAAAATGCTGATAATGATATGGACAATGAAATTTAGGCTGAGGTGGTGTCAGATGGAGATGAGGAACTTATTGGGAACTGGAGCAAAGGTGACTCTTGTTATTTTTTAGCAAAAAGACTGGCAGCATTTTGCCCCTGCCCTAGAGATTTGTGGAGCTTTGAACTTGAGAGAGATGATTTAGGGTATATGGTGGAAGAAATTTCTAAGCAACAAAGCATTCAAGAGGAAAGTTGGACGCTGTTAAAGGCATTCAGTTTCAAAAGGGAAACAGAGCATAAAAGTTTAGAAAATTTGCAGCCTGACAATGCAATAGAAAAGAAAATCCCATTTTCTGAGGAAAAATTCAAGTGAGCTGCAGAAATTTGCATAAGTAATGAGGAGCCAAACGTTAATCACCAAGACAATGGGGAAACTATCTCCAACTGTCAGAGACCTTTGCAGCAGCCCCTCCCACCACAGGCCCAGAGGCCTAGGAGGAAAAAGTGGTTTCGGGGGCCAGGCCCAAGGTCCCCATGCTGTGTGCAGCCTAGGCACTTCGTGCCCTGTGTCCCAGCTGCCCCAGCCATGGCTGAAATGGGCCAACATAGAGCTCAGGCCGTGGCTTCAGAGGGTGGAAGCCCCAAGCTTTGGCAGCTTCCACATGGTGTTGAGCCTGCAGGTGCACAGAAATCAAGCATTGAGGTTTAGGAACCTCCACCTAGATTTCAGAGGATGTATGGAAATGCCTGGATGCCCAGGCAGAAGTTTGCTGCAGGGGTGGGGCCCTCATGGAGAACCTCTGCTAGGGCAGTATGGAAGGGAAATGTGGGGTTGGAGCCCCCCCACAGAGTCACTACTGGGATACCACTTAGTGGAGCTGTGAGAAGACGGCCACCATCCTCCAGACCCCAGAATGATAGATCCACCAACAGTTTGCACTGTGCTCCCAGAATGGTAGATCCACCAAAAGTTTGCACTGTGCACCTGGAAAAGATTCAGACACTCAACATCAGTCCATGAAAGCAGCCAGGAGGGAGGCTGTACCCTGCAAAGCACAGGGGCAGAGCTCCCCAAGACCATGGGAATCCACCTCTTGCATCAGCGGACCTGGATGTGAGACATGGAATCAAAGGTGATCACTTTGAGCTTTAAGATTTGACTGCTCTACTGGATTTCAGACTTGCCTGGGGCCTTTAGCCCCTTTGTTTCAGCCAATTTCTCCCATTTGGAATGGCTGTATTTACCCAATGCCTGTATCCCCATTGTATCTAGGAAGGAACTAACTTGCTTTTGATTTTACAGGGTCATAGGAGGAAGGGACTTGCCTTGTCTCAGATGAGACTTTGGCTGTGGACTTTTGAGTTAATGCTGAAATGAGTTGAGAGTTTGGGGGACTGTTGGGAAGGCATAATTGGTTTTGAAATGTGCAGATATGAGATTTTACAGGGGCCGGGCAGAACAATATGGTTTAGCCCTGTGTCCCCACACAAATCTCACCTTGGAGCTTCCATAATTCCCACATATTGTGGGAAGGAACCCAGTGAGAGATGATTGAATCATGAGGGCAGGTCTCTCCTGTGCTGTCCTTGTGATAGTGAATGGGTCACATGAGATCTGATGGTTTTAAAAACGGGAGTTTTTCTGCACAAGCTCTCATTTTGCCGCTGCCATCTATGTAAGATGTGACTTGCTCCTCCTTGCCTTCCACCACGATTGTGAGGCCTCCCCAGCCATGTGAAACTGTAAGTCCAATGAAACTATTTCTTTTGTAAATTCCCCAGTCTCAGGTATGTCTTTATCAGCAGCATGAAAATGGACTGATGCAAGGAGGCAACTTGTTCAAGAACTCACACGGTGTATTTGGCAAGTAAATGTAGGAGGATTTAAAGTCTTAAAACTGGAATAAATTTTTATTAGCATAAATCTAAAATAACATTGGCACAAAAAGTTTCCAGGTGACAGCTGGAGAAGAATTTTGTGAAACTCATCATTGTTCAAAAGCATTAGTGTGCAAAGATAAATTAATAATAATGGGAAAGACCAATTATTCATTGAATCTAGAATGAAATGAGGAGAAAAATATTATCTCTTTACAAATCTGGCCCAGTACTTTCACTATAAATTAAAATCGGTGATAAATCGCAAATAAATTGGATAGACATCTGCAGCAGAAATTAAATTACCAAATAAAAACTACACATTTGGGGAGTTTTATGAACATGGAAAGCTTTAAGAGAGATGGCTTTCTTTGTGGATTGTTTAATGGAGTCATTTCTTATTTAAAATGTTTTAAAGAATAAATGTAATGCCTTTTGAATATTGAGAGTTTTCTAAGAACTAGACTATAAGGAAGGTGTCTCCAGCACTTTCTCCAGGCTTTGTTGATCTCACAGTATCAGATACATAAGGACACAGTGATACACAGATGTAATGCCTAAATATAAATTTAATACATTGCAGTTACAAGTCCAACTTGTGACTTTGGCTTATGACAAATCACAGTTTAGTTATATTTATGAAAATCATGAAATCAGAGTGGAAAGGAAGACCTTTATAAATATGAACTTTCTTATCTTTAAAGATAGCTTAGGTTTCTATATATCTAAGATCAGCTTTGTATTTAAAATGAATAGTGAAGGGGGTCGCTTCCAAGATGGCCAAATAGGAATAGCTCCAGTCTGCAGCTCCCAGTGAGATCGATGCAGATGACGGGTGATTTCTGCATTTCCAACTGAGGTACTGGTTCATCTCACTGGGACTGGTTGGACAGGGGATGCAGCCCATGGAGAGCAAGCTGAAGCAGGTCACAGCATTGCCTCAACCAGGAAGCACAAGGGGCCAAGGGATTTCCCTTTCCCACCCAAGGGAACTGAGACAGACTGTACCTGGAGAAATGGTACACTCCTGACCAAATACTGCACTTTTCCCATGGTCTCAGCAACCAGCCGACCAGGAGGTACCCTCCCATGCCTGGCCCGGTGGGTCCCATGCCCACAGAGGCTTGCTCACTGCTAGTGCAGCAGTCTGAGATTAACTTGCAATGGTGCAGCTTGATGAGGGAGGGGGGCATCCGCCATTGTGAGGCTTGAGTAGCTCACAGTGTAAACAAAGCAGCTGGGAAGCTTGAATTGGGTGGGGTCCACCATAGCTTAGCAAGGACTACTGCCTCTCTAGATTCCACCTCTAGGGGCAGGGCATATCTGAACAAAAGGCAGTAAACAGCTTCTGCAGACTTAAACGTCCAGTGGTTCCCTCAGCATGGCATTCAAGCTCTGAGAATGGACAAATTGCTTCCTCAAGTGGGTCCCTGACCCCTGTGTAGCCTGACTGGGAGACACCTCCCAGTAGGGGCTGACAGACACTTCAAACAAGCGAGTACCTCTCTGGGATGAAGCTTCCAGAGAAAGGATCAGGCAGCAATATTTGCTGTTCTGTAGCCTCTGCTGGAGATACCCAGCAAAACAGGGTCAGAGTGGACCTCCAGCAAACTCCAACAGACCTGCAGCTGAGGGGCCTGTCTGTTAGAAGGAAAACTAACAAACAGAAAGGAGTAGCATCAACATCAACAAAAAGGACATCCACCCCAAAACCCCATTGTAGTTCACCAACATCAAAGACCAAAGGTAGATAAAACCACAAAGATGGGGAGAAACCAGAGCAGAAAAGGTGAAAATTCCAAAAACCAGAGCATGTCTTCTCCTCCAGAGGATCTCAGCTCCTTGCCAGCAAGGGAACAAAACTGGATGGAGAGTAAGTTTGACGAGTTGACAGAAGTAGGCTTCAGAAAGTCGGTAATAACAAACTTCTCCCAGCTAAAGGAGCTTGTTCTAACCCATCGCAAGGAAGCTAAAAACCTTGAAAAAAGATTAGATGAATGCCTAACTAGAATAGTGTAGAGAAGACCTTAAATGACCTGATGGAGCTGAAAACCACAGCATGAGAACTTCGTGAAGCATCCACAAGCTTCAATAGCCAATTCAATCAAGTAGAAGAAAGGCTATCAGTGATTGAAGATCAAATTAAGGAAACAAAGCGAGAAGACAAGGTTAGAGAAAAAAGAGTGGAAAGAAATGAACAAAGCCTCCAAGAAATATAGGACTATGTGAAAAGACCAAATCAACATTTGATTGGTGTACCGGAAAGTGACAGGGAGAATGGAACCAAGTTAGAAAACACTCCTCAGGATATTATTCAGGAGAACTTCCCCAACCTAGCAAAGCAGGCCAACATTCAAATTCAGGAAATATAGAGAACACCACAAAGATACCCCTCGAGAAGAACAACCACAAGACACATAATTGTCAGATTCACCAAAGTTGAAATGAAGGAAAAAATGTTAAGGGCAGCCAGAGAGAAAGGTCAGGTTACCCACAAAGGGAAGCCCATCAAACTAATAGCAGATCTCTCGGGAAACCCCACAAGCCAGAAGAGAGTGGGGGCCAATAGTCAACAACCTTAAAGAAAAGAATTTTCAACCCAGAATTTCATATCCAGCCAAACTAAGCTTCATAAGCGAAGGAGAAATAATATCCTTTACAGACAAGCAAATGCTGAGAGATACCAGGCCTGCCTTACAAGAGCTCCTGAAGAAAGCACTAAACATGGAAAGGACAACAGGTACCAGCCACTGCAAAAACATGCCTAATTGTAAAGACCATCAACACTATGAAGAAACTGCATCAATTAATGGGCAAAATAACCAGCTAACATCATAATGACTGGATCAAATTCAAACATAACAATATTAACCTTAAATGTAAATGGGCTAAATGCCCCAATTAAAAGACACATACTGGCAAATTAGTTAAAGAGTCAAGACCCATTCATGTGCTGTATTCAGGAGACCCATCTCATGTGCAAAGACACACATAGGCTCAAAATAAAGGGATGGAGGAAGATCTACCAAGCAAATGGAAAGCAAAACAAAGCAGGGGTTCCAATCCTAGTATCTGATAAAACAGACTTTAAACCAACAAAGACCAAAAGAGACAAAGAAGGCCACTACATAATGGTAAAGAGATCAATTCAACAAGAAGAGCTAACTGTCCTAAATATATATGCACTCAATACAGGATCACCCAGATTCATAAAGCAAGTCCTTAGAGATCTACAAAGAGACTTAGGCTCCCACACAATACTAATGGGAGATTTTAACACCCCACTGTCAATATTAGACAGATCAACAAGACAGAAAATTAACAAGGATATCCAGGACTTGAACTCAGCTCTGCACCAAGCAGATCTAATAGACATCTCCAGAACTCTCCACCCCAAATCAACAGAATATACATTTTTCTCAGCACCATATCACACTTATTCTAAAATTGACCACATAATTGGAAGTAAAACACTCCTCAGCAAATGTGAAAAACAGAAGTCACAACAAACTGTCTCTCAGACCACAGGGCAGTCAAATTAGAACTCAGGTTGAAGAAACTCACTCAAAACTGCTCAACTACATGGAAACTGAACAACCTGCTCCTGAATGACTACTGGGTACATAATGAAATGAAGGCAGAAATAAAGATGTTCTTTGAAACCAATGAGAACAAAGACACAACATACCAGAATCTCTGGGACACATTTAAAGCAGTATGTAGAAGGAAATTTATAGCACTAAATGCCCTCAAGAGAAAGCAGGAAAGATTTCAAATCCACACCCTAACATCACAATTAAAAGATCTAGAGAAGCAAGAGCAAAAAATTCAAAAGCTAGCAGAAGGCAAGAAATAACTATGATCAGAGCAGAATTGAAGGAGATAGAGACAGAAAAAGCCCTTCAAAAAATCAATGAATCTAGGAGCTCGTTTTTTGAAAAGATCACCACTAGCAAGACTAATAAAGAAAAAAAGAGAGAAGAACCAAATAGACAAAATAAAAAATGATAAAGGGGATATCCCACCAATCCCACAGAAACACAAACTACCATCAGAAAATACTGTAAACATCTCTATGCAAATAAATTAGAAAATCTAGAAGATATGGATAAATTCCTGGACACATACACCCCCCAAGACTAAACCAGGAAGAAGTTGAATCTCTGAATAGAACAATAACAGGTTCTGAAATTGAGGCAATAATTAATAGCCTACCAACCAAAAAAACTCCAGGACCAGATGGATTCACAGCCAAATTCTACCAGAGGTACAAAGAGGAGCTGGTACCATTCCTTCTGAAACTATTCCAATCAATAGAAGAGGAGGGAATCCTCCCTAACTCATTTTATGAGGCCAGCATCAGCCTGATACCAAAGCCTGGCAGAGACACAACAAGAAAAGAGAATTTTAGACCTATATCCCTGATGAATATCAATGCAAAAATCCTCAATAAAATACTGGCAAATCAAATCCAGCAGCACATCACAAAGCTTATCCACCACAATCAAGTTGGCTTCATCCCTGGGATCCAAGGCTGGTTCAACATACACAAATCGATAAACATAATCCATCACATAAAGAGAACCAATGACAAAAAACACATGATTACCTTAATACATGCAGAAAAGGCCTTTGACAAAATTCAACAGCACTTCATGCTAAAAACTCTCAATAAACTAGGTATTGTGGAATGTATCTCAAAATAATAAGAGCTATTTATGACAAACCCACAGCCAATATCATACTGAATGGGCAAAAACTGGAAGCATTCCCTTTGAAAAACAGCACAAGACAAGGATGCCCTCTCTCACCACTCCTATTCAACATAGTGTTGGAAGTTCTGGCTAGGGGAATCAGGCAAGAGAAAGAAATAAAGGATATTCAATTAGGAAAAGAGGAAGTCAAACTGTCCCTGTTTGCAGAAAACATGATTGTATATTTAGAAAACCCCATTGTCTCAGCCCAAAATCTCCTTAACCTAATGAGCAACTTCAGCAAAATCTCAGGATACAAAATCAATGTGCAAAACTCACGAACATTCCTATACACAAATAGTAGACAAACAGAGAGCCAAATCATCGGTGAACTCCCATTCACAATTACTACAAAGAGAATAAAATACCTAGGAATACAACTTACAAGGGATGTGAAGGACCTCTTCAAGGAGTACTAAAAACCACTGCTCAACGAAATAAAAGAGGGCACAAACAAGTGGAAGAACATTCCATGCTCATGGGTAGGAAGAATCAATATTGTGAAAATGACCATACTGCCCAAGGTAATTTATAGATTCAATGCTATCCTCATCAAGCTACCATTGACTTTCTTCACAGAATTGGAAAAAACTACTTTAAAATTTATACGGAACCAAAAAAGAGCCTGCATAGCCAAGACAATCCTAAGCAAAAAGAACAAAGCTGGAGGCATCACATTACCTGACTTCAAACTATACTACAAGGCTACAGTAACCAAAACAGCATGGTACTGGTACCAAAACAGATGTATAGACCAATGGAACAGAACAGAGGCCTCAGAAATAACACCACACATCTACAATCATCTGATCTTTGACAAACCTGACAAAAACAAGAAATGGGGAAAGGATTCCCTATTTAATAAATGGTGCTGGGAAAACTGGCTAGCCATATGTAGAAAGCTGAAACTGGATCCCTTCATTACGCCATATACAAAAATTAACTCAAGTTGGATTAAATTCTTAAACATAAGATGTAACACCACAAAAATCCCAGAAGAAAACCTAGGCAATACCATTCAGAACATAGGCATGGGCAAAGACTTCATGACTAAAACACCAGAAGCAATGGCAACAAAAGCCAAAATTGACAAATGGGATCTAATTAAACTAAAGAGCTTCTGCACAGCAAAAAAAAAAAAAACCATCATCAGAGCGAACAGGCAACCTACAGAATGGGAGAAAATTTTTGCAATCTACCCATCTGACAAAGGGCTAATATCCAGAATCTACAAAGAACTTAAAGAAATTTACAAGAAAAAAAAAAACAACCCCATCAAAAAGTGAGCGAAGGATATGAACAGATACTTGTCAAAAGAAGACATTTATGCGGCCAACAAACTTATGAAAAAATGTTCATCATCACTGGTCATCAGAGCAATGCAAATCAAAACCACAGTGAGATGCCATCTCATGCCAGTTAGAATGGTGATCATTAAAAAGTCAGGAAACAACAGATGCTGGAGAGGATGTGGAGAAATAGCAACACTTTACACTGTTGGTGGGAGTGTAAATTAGTTCTACCATTGTGGAAGACAGTGTGGCAATTCCCCAAGGATCTAGAACTAGAAATACCATTTGACCCAGCCATCCCATTACTGGGTATACACCCAAAGGATTATAAATCATGCTGCTATAAAGACACATGCACACGTTTATTGTGGCACTATTCACAATACCAAAGACTTGGAACCAACCCAAATGTCCATCAATGATAAACTGGATTAAGAAAATGTGGCACTTATATGACATGAAATACTATGCAACCATAAAAAAGGATGGGTTCATGTCCTTTGCAGGGACATGGATGAAGCTGGAAACCATCATTTTAAGCAAACTATCACAAGGACAGAAAACCAAATACCACATGTTCTCACTCACAGGTGGGAGTTGAACAATGAGAACACGTGGACACAGCACAGGGAACATCACACACTGGGCCTGTCAGGGGGTGCGGTCTGGGGGAGGGATAGCATTAGAGAAATACCTAATATAAATGACGAGTTGATGGGTGCAGCAAACCAACATGGCACATGTATACCTATGTAACAAACCTGCACGTTGTGCACATGTACCCTAGAACTTAAAGTATAATTAAAAAATGAAATAAAATGAAAAGTGAAAATAATATAAATACTACACAAAAAAATACCATTGTGTTTCTTAAAAGTTGTACCTAAAGGGAAATATTTTCAAAATTATTGGACATCTTGCTATTTAAAACAACTCTATAATTTGTCCTTTCCCTCTATAGAGTAAAAAGATAATTTACTGTTCCTTCATTCTTATGGTTTTATTTTTCTTTTAAATTTATATTTTTTCCTTGTATTGCAAATATGCGTATTTCTTCAATCTAGACTTTCAAGGCAAGAAAGTGACATTAAAGTGTTTGCCTGAAACACAGACTCATCTGCTTTGCAAGGAGAGTTTTCCCTTTCTGTGACCACAGCATGAACACAGACACACCTGGCCATTCAGGAGTACTGGGCAGGGGAGTTGTCTGTATCTCATAAACTATTGGTAACCACAACATAACAAACTGTATCTCATACCACTATTGGTAACCACAACATAACAACAAGACAGAGGGATGATAAGTGTCCGGGAAGGAGGGAGGTCTCCCATCTATTATGAGATGCTTTAATGTGGAGGAAAGGGAGAGTCACCTTGATAAATAATAGATATCCCTAAATCTCAGCCCCTCCACTCCAAGCCTGTGCCATCTACTGACCAATCAAGATACATAATACCCTGCACACCACACTCCCTTTTCTCCTTATTTCTGCTATCTACTTCCCACCCCTGCTGATGGCATGATGTATGTAAGACTCTCCTCTGTCTACAACAGTGAATCCTTTAGCAAAGAAGCCAACATAGCTATTTGTATAGTTGTCTCTTGAGGTAAATAGAAACTGGGAATTGAGAGCAGCTTCTTTCAGAAAAGCCAAGAGCAGATCCACGTAGTCTCCACACCTTCGTTTGGACCGTGACCCCTGAAGCAGACCAATGAGCCCAGGGTGTCCACGTGTGAGAGCAAAGCCTTTCCTCTCTCCCAAAGGGGATGCTTTAGGTACCCAGCCAGTACAGGAGCGATCCACCAAGCCAGAGAAAATGTTCAGCCTCCGTCTCGGTCACATAGGAGGATAACACTGACATTTCAGTGTATACTTTTGTCTGGTTGAACAAACCTCTTTCTTCTAGAAAATAAGGCTAGGTAAGATGTTTGTATTTATTTATTTATTTATTTTTGAGACGGATGTAGCTCTGTCGCCCAGGCTGGAGTGCAGTGGCGTGATCTCAGCTCACTGCAAGCTCCGTCTCCCGGGTTCACACCATTCTCCTGCCTCCGCCTCCCGAGTAGCTGGGACTACAGGCGCCCACCACCACGCCCGGAGAATTGTTTTTGTATTTTTAGTAGAGACGGGGTTTCACCGTGTTAGCCAGGATGGTCTCAATCTCCTGACCTCGTGATCCGCCCGCCTCGGCCTCCCAAAGTGCTGGGATTATAGGCGTGAGCCACCGCGCCCGGCAAGATGTTTTTATTTTTAATAATCCTTAAGGGATAAAATCCATCCAGGCAGCCTAGAGAGGGTAATCCATAAATCAGACATCAGAGATAAGATTTCATTGCACAGTAACTGTGAGTGGGGAGAGAAGCTTGGCAAGGATTCACTTGCCCCCTACATGGTCTCAGACTAGAATATCACTGGAGCTGAGACCGGCTTCCAGGCAGACCTAATGAAGGTTGCCTTCTGCCTCTGTAGACAAGAAGTCCAACAGGAAGTAATATACATGTTTCTATAGCACCTTCCTGATCTGCAGTTTTTAAAATAAAGCGAGGGCTCTTTTTTACTAATTGTATACCATTGTATAAATGTTGGTCTTTATTATTATGTGGAATAAATGCAATAAAATTGAGAAGGAAAATGTGCCAAAGGTTTATTGCATGCTATGAAGAAGATTGAACCTGGATTCAGAAGGCCTGGGCTCTCCCGTTGCTGTATACAACCAAGTCCTCAGCTGACTCACATGGGCTCTCAGTTTCTCTGTAAACCAGGGTGATTGGAGGGGTGGCAAATTGGTAGCTCCTGGGCTGAACGTTCAGTGCTTCTCAAAAAGTTGAATTTAATCACCTTTAAATGGGACACCTGCTCTCCAGATGGCCAGGGTCCTGTCACCTTTTTGTCTCATATCCGGTTTTCCTTCACACATTTACGATACCAGCCTAGCCCTGAAAGCGTCTGAGCTTGAACTTAGAGAATCTCGAGGAACTTTCCCAGTCTTTAAAAAAAAAAAAATCCACGATGTTTTGACACAGGATATCAACCACTAATGCTCCCTCTTTCCCTCACTACTTGGATGTCTCAGCTTGAGCTGCATTTTGAAAATGAAGAAAGAGATAAAGACAGCCTAGCAGGAGGAAGGAAAGGCATTTGTTAAGATATGACACTGGGCAGCGCCACCCCACATTCCAGAACTGCAAGCAGTTGGGCCTGACTAGAGAGAAGGGTGTAGGAAGTGAGGTAAGGGGAATAGAAAAACTGAGGCAAATACTGAAAGGAATTGTGATTTAACTGGAAGTCCTGAACTTTGTCCTGAAAGCTGGAGAGAGATGGGAGAGCAGAGAGGGCATTGAGGGCTTTTAATCTGCTAAATTTCTGTTTTAAGACCATCATTTTGAAGGCTGCTTGGAGGATAGGCAAATATCTTCCCCACTAGCAAAAAGTACTTTCCCCAGCTGTAAAATGATGGGCATAGATCAAAGGTTCACAGTACCGTTGCATATAAGAATTGCATGAGAAGCTTGTAACAGTGCTGATAACCTAGCCTCACACCAAGAGATATTTATTTAATTGGGTGGGGAGTGTGGGGGGCGGAAGGGGTGGGTAAGGGTACTTATTAAAGTGTGAGACCCTTAAGGACACTTCCTGCTCTGAAATTCTATCAACTATGTCAAGGGAGGTCCCCATCATTCAAATTGAAGAATGACGAGGAGCCATTTCCTTTGCATCTTCAAACCCCAAAATCTGAAGCGAGGTTTAGAAAGATGTCCCAATAGTTTACATCACTTTTCTTTAAATTAGCTGTTTTTCTTGGTCATATCCAATTACTCCCTGAAAAAAAAAGAATTATTTCATAGTATGATTTCAGACTTCTATTTTAGAATTTTACACTGTCAAATCATTTTGGTGTGAAAAAGTACCAGCACCTCCCAAATAAATGGAAAACAATTATAAAATAAGCAAAACCTATTTGCAACCAATAAAGGATTGTTTAAAATCAGTAAATGAGCATATATATCAATCCTTAGTCTGTGTAACATTTTCCAGAATGAGTCATTCCAGGCTTGTGGGCGAATAGGCTCCCTGCTCATTTTCTGCTTCTATCTTCTCCTAGTCAGAACCTGAGAGTGTTTACTTGCTTGCTTTTTTTTTTTTAAGTTAATATTTATTGGGTAATTCGCATAGGCCAGGCATTGGGCCAAGGGCTTTACAAACAAGTATCTATCACCACTGTATTAATAAGGAAACTGAAGGGAGGACAAATAACTCAAGGACACAGAGCTAGTAAGAAGCAATGCTGGAATTTGAATCTGCAATCATGTGCCCTAAGTCCATGGGCTTCATTCACCATGACCCCACACTGTTTCACCCCTCCTCCACAGCTCTCTAATTTTACCTTGTCTCCTACCCTGACCTGCGGAGCCAGATTCCACTCTGAGTTCACTGAAGGTATATGCAGAGGTAGATTAAGGGTACACACACCCCTGAGACCATTTGGTCCCCGCTGTTGGGTGTAAGTTTGCTGTCAATAGGGCGCCCTCTGCTGTTTAAACAATGTAGAGGTGTGTTAAATATAGAGGGCCATGAAGATTTACTTCTTAGGAGGAAACCAATTTTTTTTAGATACCTTTTTTATTGTATCTTCATAACAACTCTGAAAAATAGGACTTATATTAATTTCACAAATAAGCATCTGCAGATCAGGGAGCTAGATTTAAATCCACATCTATTTGACCTTAAAGTCCAGGTCTTTTTTTTTTTAATTATTATACTTTAAGTTCTGGGGTACACGTGCAGAACGTCCAGGTTTGTTACATAGGTATACATGTGCCATGGTGGTTTGCTGCACCCATCAACCCATCATCTACATTAGGTATTTCTCTTAATGCTATCCCTCCCCTAGCCCCCCACCCCCGATAGGCCCTGGTGTGTGATGTTCCCCTCCCTGTGTCCATGTGTTTTCATTGCTCAGCTCCCACCTATGAGTGAGAACATGTGGTGTTTGGTTTTCTGTTCCTGTGTTAGTTTGCTGAGAATGACAGAGGAAACCAATTCTTGAGATAAATGCATCCCTTATAAACAAACAACTGTACCTCCCCATCATAAAGAAAACACTCCTGCTCCACAGATCAATCCAAAAAGGGCTTCAATCCAAAAAAGCCAGAGACATCAGTCTCATCTTTCAAGACTGATTATATCCATATTCAAGCCATGGAGTCATTATAGTGGTCCTGAAATTAGTCTCTGCCCCTCCTGTTAGATGCTACGTTCCTGTGTTTGCACTGTTCACCCTGAACTGACGCTTTAACCTTTGTAACCATTGAAAGTGTGATTATGAGAAGAGGGAATGCCTCCCACCTTAGGCATCATAATAATTCTGAGCTTGCTGCTAAGAGTGCACAGTGCTGGATGCTTTTTTTCTTTACCCAGAAATTATAAAACATTTAGGGACTCCTGGGGCACGTTAATCATAAAATATTCAGCAACATCTGTGGCATATTATTTACTGACATGCTAGACCCAGAAAATATGGTGCCTGTATCGCATCACGTGAACGGTTACGCTGAGACTGGAGGTGCTATTTTATGGTCCTTTGCTTCCAGGCTACCTCTCTCTCTCACGTGGTCTTTCTCCCCAGCACCTTACAGGCATGGGGCTACCAGTACAAGCTTAAGAATAGGTTTGTGCTCAGAGTCTCCTGGAGCAAAGTAATTTCTAACAAAGGCAGTCTAGTCATGCTGGGATGGGGTTATATCCATCTCCTTAGGAACTGCACAGGTGAGTCACAGGGGCAAGGGAAGAACAGGCAAGGTCACAGCTGAGGTGGGAATTGTCTGCAGGATTGTGAGACCAACTCCTCCCTCACTGGATCCTGTGCATGCAATCAACACACACACATGCACACACACACACTCACACACACAGAAGCTTCCAGCTGCTTTGCCCAGAAACTGACAGAATTCCTAGAAAGGATAGCAGACCAAAAATCAAGACACATGACTTATGTTAGGCAGTCAATAAACAATCAACACCTTCTCTGTGCCAGGCTGTGTGCCAAGCTCAGCCACCATATGATTCTAGTGCCCTGTGATCCTCTGTGTTCTTATATGGAGTGGACTTCAGGGTGGAGGAGACAAGAAAGTCACTTGGAGAGCTGCTGGGAACTACACACCCTCCTGGCACTGAATTCTGGCAAACAACTGCCCTCCGCAGCCCAGGCTCATCCCACTCCCAATTCCATGCTTATTTTGAAAAAGTCCCTCACTGGATATGGCTCCTCCCCTTCAAGAACCATGAGCTTAGATCCTTTATAAGTAAAGTGGCCACATATCTGGTTTGTCCACAACAGTCCCAATTTATGCCTGATATCCTGGCTATTTTATTAATAACACTCACTTTCACTCTCCAAAGTGCGTCAGGTTGGGATATAAATTATATAGTCATCCAATATAAGAATCCTTCCAGATATAGTGTGACTTTAACACACCCTCACAAAGATGCCAGGGCATCAGAATCTTCCCTCTTCCCCCAAAGAAATCATCCCAACTATTTTGAGAATCCCAATTGGGATGTCTTATAAATGTCTCAACCTTCACGTGGCAGCTTCCATTCTTCCTCTACTCCTGCTCTGTTTCCCCCAGAGTCTCCAGGAAAACCTGCAGGAATGAAGACCCCTTGCCACAGCCTCTGCCTCTCCCACCACTGAGGGTTTCGCCCATGGAGGCCTCCACTGAGGCTTGGCATAACAGCACCTTCACTGCCCCCAGTTCCGCATATTGAAGGGGGAGAGTCCCACGTACCTCCTGTGCCACACTCACGCAGGGGGCTGAGGAAGCAAAGCTCACTCAGGCCCCCAGTGACCCCAGGGGTCTTCCTTGCATAACGTCTAGTCTCACTGCTCATTTCTCATTTTACAGAGACCACAAAATCATGAACCTTTCAGCCAGACCTAAATTGCTGGTGTGCTTTTGTTTTTGCTTTTTACATTGAGCCAATGTTTTAGAATTAGATTTTACATGAAATCAATGATGTGCTGAAGAACCACTCGCAAGAGCTAAGGGTTACATTTTCAAGAATTTTGTGAGTGGCTGTTATACATAGCTGCCATTAAAACTTAAGTCATATAAACATACATCTAAATAAATTCTATTAAAACAAAGGCAACAATTAGGTTGTGGTGATGATTGTGCAAGTTGGTAAACATACTAAAATTTTTAGAATGCAAAGGGTGAATTTTGTGGTATACAAATTATATCTCAATAAAGCTGGGTTTGATTGTTCATTTGTTTGTTTGTTTGAGACAGGTTTTCACTCTGTCACCCAGGCTGGAGTGAAGTGGCACAATCATAGCTCACTGCAACCTCGACCTCTTAGGCTCAAGCGATCCTCCCACCTCAGCCTCCAGAGTAGCTAGGACTACAGGTGCTGGGATAACAGGCATGAGCCACCACGCCCAGCCTAAAGCTATTAAAAAATAAAATTTTGTAAAGGTAATAAATATTCAAAATTTATCACTTGCTAATTATTTTATTACAATTTACTGTGGCCTATGTTCTTGTAGTAATTTATACCTATTGTATCTGTAGAGTGAAAATGCTATCTAATGGAATGCCATTGCACGTCTCTTATAATTCCACATAACATCCTTTGGTGGCTTGAACTAAGCCATGTGATGAGGGTATTGACACCACAGAAATAGGCAAACATTACAAATAAGGTCTTGGTTCATTGTTTGTTGATTGTCTAGGCTTAAGAAAGTAAGGGAGAAAATGCTAACAATGCAGATTAAACTTAAAACTGTGTTATGTCTGTAGTCTTTACATTGTGAATAGCACAAAAAATAGACAAAATATTCTTCCAGTATCTGAAAACTATTATCCAGTTCAGAAAAGAAGTAACTCATCTCCCTGATAAACAAGTATAGTTATAATATGAATGTTGGTTGATACTTTCATGAACCATAACAAAACAACAAAAGTGAAACAACGAAGATATGTTAGAACTTCACTAATAATCAAGCTTTTATTCATAGTCTGGTTATGTGACCCTGTTGTTGGTGGTAGAATTATAAAACCTGATAATGGATTTAGTAAGAAATAGCAAGTCACACAGTATTTTAAATTTTATGAGTATTTTCAAATTGTATGCTACAATGCATTCTATATATCAGTAAAATTTATAATACATATTGCATATATGCATACGCACACATACACACACATTTTGTTATTGAACACTTCCCAACACACCATTGTCTAAAGTCTTCATTTAAAAGCTTCTCTTGAAAAACTGAATCTGATATTATTGCCTATCTGCCCACCTAGTAGCTGAAGCTGAGGATCACCTTGTCTTCCACCTCATTAAATAGATAAGATGCCTTATCCCCCTTTAGACAGGCATGCAGTCTCTAGTTCATGCACAGTGCCCACCACTGCCTACTGTTTTGCACTCTGCTTCTCATGTTTTTATTATCTTCCTGACTCTTGCAGGTTTCTGAGTTTAAACCCCTTCTCATAGGCTCTCTCCTTGACATTCAGACACAAGTCTTTTTTTTTTTAATTTACTTATTTATTTTTTATTATACTTTAAGTTTTAGGGTACATGTGCACATTGTGCAGGTTAGTTACATATGTATACATGTGCCATGCTGGTGCGCTGCACCCACTAACTCGTCATCTAGCATTAGGTATATCTCCCACTGCTATCCCTCCCCCCTCCCCCCACCCCACCACAGTCCCCAGAGTGTGATATTCCCCTTCCTGTGTCCATGTGATCTCATTGTTCAATTCCCACCTATGAGTGAGAATATGCGGTGTTTGGTTTTTTGTTCTTGCAATAGTTTACTGAGAATGATGACTTCCAATTTCATCCATGTCCCTACAAAGGACATGAACTCATCATTTTTTATGGCTGCATAGTATTCCATGGTGTATATGTGCCACATTTTCTTAATCCAGTCTATCATTGTTGGACATTTGGGTTGGTTCCAAGTCTTTGCTATTGTGAATAATGCCGCAATAAACATACGTGTGCATGTGTCTTTATAGCAGCATGATTTATAGTCCTTTGGGTATATACCCAGTAATGGGATGGCTGGGTCAAATGGTATTTCTAGTTCTAGATCCCTGAGGAATCGCCACACTGACATCCACAATGGTTGAACTAGTTTACAGTCCCACCAACAGTGTAAAAGTGTTCCTATTTCTCCACATCCTCTCCAGCACCTGTTGTTTCCTGACTTTTTAATGATTGCCATTCTAACTGGTGGGAGATGGTATCTCATTGTGGTTTTGATTTGCATTTCTCTGATGGCCAGTGATGATGAGCATTTTTTCATGTGTTTTTTGGCTGCATAAATGTCTTCTTTTGACAAATATCTGTTCATGTCCTTCGCCCACTTTTTGATGGGGTTGTTTGTTTTTTTCTTGTAAATTTGTTGGAGTTCATTGTAGATTCTGGATATTAGCCCTTTGTCAGATGAGTAGGTTGCAAAAATTTTCTCCCATTTTGTAGGTTGCCTGTTCACTCTGATGGTAGTTTCTTTTGCTGTGCAGAAGCTCTTTAGTTTAATTAGATCCCATTTGTCAATTTTGGCTTTTGTTGCCATTGCTTTTGGTGTTTTAGACATGAAGTCCTTGCCCATGCCTATGTCCTGAATGGTAATGCCTAGGTTTTCTTCTAGGGTTTTTATGGTTTTAGGTCTAACGTTTAAGTCTTTAATCCATCTTGAATTGATTTTTGTATAAGGTGTAAGGAAGGGATCCAGTTTCAGCTTTCTACATATGGCTAGCCAGTTTTCCCAGCACCATTTATTAAATAGGGAATCCTTCCCCATTGCTTGTTTTTCTCAGGTTTGTCAAAGATCAGATAGTTGTAGATATGTGGCGTTATTTCTGAGGGCTCCGTTCTGTTCCATTGATCTATATCTCTGTTTTGGTACCAGTACCATGCTGTTTTGGTTACTGTAGCCTTGTAGTATAGTTTGAAGTCAGGTAGTGTGATGCCTCCAGCTTTGTTCTTTTGGCTTAGGATTGACTTGGAGATGCGTGCTCTTTTTTGGTTCCATATGAACTTTAAAGTAGTTTTTTCCAATTCTGTGAAGAAAGGCATTGGTAGCTTGATGGGAATGGCATTGAATCTGTAAATTACCTTGGGCAGTATGACCATTTTCACGATATTGATTCTTCCTACCCATGAGCATGGAATGTTCTTCCATTTGTTTGTATCCTCTTTTATTTCCTTGAGCAGTGGTTTGTAGTTCTCCTTGAAGAGGTCCTTCACATCCCTTGTAAGTTGGATTCCTAGGTATTTTATTCTCTTTGAAGCAATTGTGAATGGGAGCTCACTCATGATTTGGCTCTCTGTTTGTCTGTTGTTGGTGTATAAGAATGCTTGTGATTTTTGTATATTGATTTTGTACCCTGAGACTTTGCTAAAGTTGCTTATCAGCTTAAGGAGATTTTGGGCTGAGACAATGGGGTTTTCTAGATATACAATCATGTCGTCTGCAAACAGGGACAATTTAACTTCCTCTTTTCCTAATTGAATACCCTTTATTTCCTTCTCCTGCCTAATTGCCCTGGCCAGAACTTCCAACACTATGTTGAATAAGAGTAGTGAGAGAGGGCATCCCTGTCTTGTGCCAGTTTTCAAAGGGAATGCTTCCAGTTTTGCCCATTCAGTATGATATTGGCTGTGGGTTTGTCATAGATAGCTCTTATTATTTTGAAATATGTCCCATCAATACCTAATTTATTGAGAGTTTTTAGCATGAAGGGTTGTTGAATTTTGTCAAAGGCTTTTTCTGCATCTACTGAGATAATCATGTGGTTTTTGTCTTTGGCTCTGTTTATATGCTGGATTACATTTATTGATTTGCGTATATTGAACCAGCCTTGCATCCCAGGGATGAAGCCCATTTGATCATGGTGGATAAGCTTTTTGATGTGCTGCTGGATTCGTTTTGCCAGTATTTTATTGAGGATTTTTGCATCAATGTTCATCAAGGATATTGGTCTAAAATTCTCTTTTTTGGTTGTGTCTCTGCCCAGCTTTGGTATCAGAACGATGCTGGCCTCATAAAATGAGTTAGGGAGGATTCCCTCTTTTTCTACTGATTGGAATACTTTCAGAAGGAATAGTAGCAGTTCCTCCTTGTACCTCAGGTAGAATTCGGCTGTGAATCCATCTGGTCCTGGACTCTTTTTGGTTGGTAAGCTATTGATTATTGCCACAATTTCAGATCCTGTTATTGGTCCATTCAGAGATTCAACTTCTTCCTGCTTTAGTCTTGGGAGAGTGTATGTGTCGAGGAATTTATCCATTTCTTCTAGATTTTCTGGTTTATTTGCATAGAGGTGTTTGTAGTATTCTATGATGGTAGTTTGTATTTCTGTGGGATCGGTGGTGATATCCCCTTTATCATTTTTTATTGCGTCTATTTGATTCTTCTCTCTTTTTTTCTTTATTAGTCTTGCTAGCGGTCTATCTATTTTGTTGATCTTTTCAAAAAACCAGCTCCTGGATTCATTAATTTTTTGAAGGGTTTTTTGTGTCTCTATTTCCTTCAGTTCTGCTCTGATTTTAGTTATTTCTTGCCTTCTGCTAGCTTTTGAATGTGTTTGCTCTTGCTTTTCTAGTTCTTTTAATTGTGATGTTAGGGTGTCAATTTTGGATCTTTCCTGCTTTCTCTTGTGGGCATTTAGTGCTATAAATTTCCCTCTACACACTGCTTTGAATGCGTCCCAGAGATTCTGGTATGTTGTGCCTTTGTTCTCGTTGGTTTCAAAGAACATCTTTATTTCTGCCTTCATTTCGTTATGTACCCAGTAGTCATTCAGGAGCAGGTTGTTCAGTTTCCATGTAGTTGAGCGGTTTTGAGTGAGATTCTTAATCCTGAGTTCTAGTTTGATTGCACTGTGGTCTGAGAGATAGTTTGTTATAATTTCTGTTCTTTTACATTTGCTGAGGAGAGCTTTACTTCCAAGTATGTGGTCAATTTTGGAATAGGTGTGGTGTGGTGCTGAAAAAAATGTATATTCTATTGATTTGGGGTGGAGAGTTCTGTAGATGTCTATTAGGTCCGCTTGGTGCAGAGCTGAGTTCAATTCCTGGGTATCCTTGTTGACTTTCTGTCTCGTTGATCTGTCTAATGTTGACAGTGGGGTGTTAAAGTCTCCCATTATTAATGTGTGGGAGTCTAAGTCTCTTTGTAGGTCACTCAGGACTTGCTTTATGAATCTGGGTGCTCCTGTATTGGGTGCATATATATTTAGGATAGTTAGCTCTTCTTGTTGAATTGATCCCTTTACCATTATGTAATGGCCTTCTTTGTCTCTTTTGATCTTTGTTGGTTTAAAGTCTGTTTTATCAGAGACTAGGATTGCAACCCCTGCCTTTTTTTGTTTTCCATTTGCTTGGTAGATCTTCCTCCATCCTTTTATTTTGAGCCTATGTGTGTCTCTGCACGTGAGATGGGTTTCCTGAACACAGCACACTGTTGGGTCTTGACTCTTTATCCAATTTGCCAGTCTGTGTCTTTTAATTGGAGCATTTAGTCCATTTACATTTAAAGTTAATATTGTTATGTGTGAATTTGATCCTGTCATTATGATGCTAGCTGGTGATTTTGCTCATTAGTTGATGCAGTTTCTTCCTAGTCTCGATGGTCTTTACATTTTGGCATGATTTTGCAGTGGCTGGTACCGGTTGTTCCTTTCCATGTTTAGCGTTTCCTTCAGGAGCTCTTTTAGGGCAGGCCTGGTGGTGACAAAATCTCTCAGCATTTGCTTGTCTGTAAAGTATTTTATTTCTCCTTCACTTATGAAGCTTAGTTTGGCTGGATATGAAATTCTGGGTTGAAAATTCTTTTCTTTAAGAATGTTGAATATTGGCCCCCACTCTCTTCTGGCTTGTAGGGTTTCTGCCAAGAGATCTGCTGTTAGTCTGATGGGCTTCCCTTTGTGGGTAACCCGACCTTTCTCTCTGGCTGCCCTTAACATTTTTTCCTTCATTTCAACTTTGGTGAATCTGACAATTATGTGTCTTGGAGTTGCTCTTCTCGAGGAGTATCTTTGTGGCGTTCTCTGTATTTCCTGAATCTGAACGTTGGCCTGCCTTGCTAGATTGGGGAATTTCTCCCGGATAATATCCTGCAGAGTGTTTTCCAACTTGGTTCCATTCTCCCCATCACTTTCAGGTACACCAATCAGACGTAGATTTGGTCTTTTCACATAGTCCCATATTTCTTGCAGGCTTTGCTCATTTCTTTTTATTCTTTTTTCTCTAAACTTCCCTTCTCGCTTCATTTCATTCATTTCATCTTCCATTGCTGATACCCTTTCTTCCAGTTGATTGCATCAGCTCCTCAGGCTTCTGCATTCTTCACGTAGTTCTCAAGCCTTGGTTTTCAGCTCCATCAGCTCCTTTAAGCACTTCTCTGTATTGGTTATTCTAGTTATATATTCTTCTAAATTTTTTTCAAAGTTTTCAACTTCTTTGCCTTTGGTTCGAATGTCCTCCCATAGCTCAGAGTAATTTGATCGTCTGAAGCCTTCTTCTCTCAGCTCGTCAAAGTCATTCTCCATCCAGCTTTGTTCCATTGCTGGTGAGGAACTGCGTTCCTTTGGAGGAGGAGAGGCGCTCTGCTGTTTAGAGTTTCCAGTTTTTCTGTTCTGTTTTTTCCCCATCTTTGTGGATTTATCTACTTTTGGTCTTTGATGATGATGATGTACAGATGGGTTTTTGGTGTGGATGTCCTTTCTGTTTGTTAGTTTTCCTTCTAACAGACAGGACCCTCAGCTGCAGGTCTGTTGGAATACCCTGCCATGTGAGGTGTCGGTGTGCCCCTGCTGGGGGGTGCCTCCCAGTTAGGCTGCTCGGGGGTCAGGTGTCAGGGAACCACTTGAGGAGACAGTCTGCCCGTTCTCAGATCTCCAGCTGCATGCTGGGAGAACCACTGCTCTCTTCAAAGCTGTCAGACGGGGACATTTAAGTCTGCAGGGTTACTGCTGTCTTTTTGTTTGTCTGTGCCCTGCCCCCAGAGGTGGAGCCTACAGAGGCAGGCAGGCCTCCTTGAGCTGTGGTGGGCTCCACCCAGTTCCAGCTTCCCGGCTGCTTTGCTTACCTAAGCAAGCCTGGGCAATGGCAGGTGCCCCTCCCCCAGCCTCGCTGCCGCCTTGCAGTTTGATCTCAGACTGCTGTGCTAGCAATCAGCGAGACTCCATGGGCGTAGGACCCTCCGAGCCAGGTGTGGGATATAATCTCGTGGTGCGCCGTTTTTTTAAGCCGGTCGGAAAAGCGCAGTATTCGGGTGGGAGTGACCCGATTTTCCAGGTGCGTCCATCACCCCTTTCTTTGACTGGGAAAGGGAACTCCCTGAACCCTTGCTATTCCCAAGTGAGGCAATGCCTCGCCCTGCTTCGGCTCGCGCACGGTGCATGCACCCACTGACCTGCACCCACTGTCTGGCACTCCCTAGTGAGATGAACCTGGTACCTCAGATGGAAATGCAGAAATCACCCATCTTCTGCGTCGCTCACGCTGGGAGCTGTAGACCCGAGCTGTTCCTATTCAGCCATCTTGGCTCCTCCCTCCAGACACAAGTCTTTAAAATGCTGATCAGAGCATTGAAAACTGAAACAGACACAATACCGACCTCCTGTGGTAGACTGACTCATGGTCCCACAGATGTCCATCCACATCCTAAACCCCAGAACCTATTACCTTACATGGTTCAAAGGATTTTGCAGCTGTGACTAAGCTATGGACCTTAAAATGGAGAGATTACCCTAGATTATCCAGGTGGGTTTGGTGTAATCACAAGGGTCCTCCTGGGAGGGAAGTGAGAGGATCAGAGTCAGAAGAGGGAGGTGGAGAGACAGAAGCAGTGGCTGGAGTGATGTGCTTTGAAGATGGAGAAGGCACCATGATCCAAGGAACGCAGTTGGCTCCCAGAAATAGAGGAGCGCAAAGAAACGCTCTCCTCTTGAGCCTCCAGAAGGAAGGTGGCCTTCCTGATCCTTTGATTTTTAGCCCTCTGACTAAAAATTTCAGACTTCTGACTTCCAGAATTGTAAGATCATAAATGTGTGTTGTTTTAAGCCATGAAGTCTGTGGTAATTTGTTACAGCAGCCATAGGAAATTACTGTACTTTCCATTCCCTAACACATATTCTTCCTAACACATATTCTTCCCTAACACATATTCTCCCTCTGCCCAAACTCTCTTCTCTCTTTCTAACCAGTCATGTCTCCACCTAATGTTTTGTAACCAGGCTCTTCAGACCAAGAGCAGCGTTTTTGCTTAAAATATTGACTTCAATTCTGTGATGGGGGATCAAGCAAGAACAGGCAAGGAATCCACATTTTGCAATGGGCTCCCATCCCTCCTTCTTATTGTTACCTCTAGTACTGCTCAGCATTCTCTTTGTTCCCCCTCAGAGTGAAAGGGGTAGTGGTGTAACCACAGCAGCCTGTGGTTAAATAAACCCAGACTTCCTTCCAACCTGTCAGTACCTCAACCTGCCTCTGACTATCCCACTTCTGACTCTTTTTGCCCCCCCGCCCCCGCCATTTTCATTCTCTGCCTCCCCTCCTACTTTGACTTTCTAGGCCAACTGATCTTTTGGCTCTGGATCTTCTGGCTTTGTTTTTTCTAAACTCCATCTAGCATGCTCCTTCCTGCTGTGATGTTTCCACAAACTGGTAACTCAGAAATAAAACTTTCCTTGGTCCAAGCCTGGAACACCTCCCCATTTCAAGGAAATTAACCTTAATCCCTGGCACCTTCTCAGCTCAGCTAGAAAGAATTCAAGATCATGAAAATTAAGTGTTCTTGGAATATATCCTCTTTATTCACGGAAGTATTTGAGAATTCAAATTCATATCATATTCTCCTGTAATAATATTTTAAATCACAGTGGACCAGCTCAGTCCATTAAACACATCACTTACATCCCTCGCCTGTAATATACATAAGCTATAGAATTCCCCTGCCTCCAGAGTCACAGAGTAAAGAGGAAGAGATTGTTGAGCTCCAGGTCAAATGTGAGCAAAATTCTGAAGTGAGTTTGTAGCAGGACAAGCCGCAGACAAAACCCCCCGACACCGAGTTAAAGAAGGAAGCAGTTTATTAGGCCAGGAGCGTCGGCAAGACTCCTGTCTCAAGAGCCGAGCTCCCTGAGTGAGCAATTCCTGTCCCTTAAAAGGGCTCACAACTCTAAGGGGGTCTGCTTGAGAGGGTTGTGATCGATTGAGCAAGCAGGGGGTATGTGAGTGGAGGCTGCAGGCACCGGTAATTAGATCGGAACAGAACAGGACATGGATTTTCACAGTGCTTTTCTATACAATGTCTGTAATCTATAGATAACATAACCGATTAGGTCAGAGGTCGATCTTTAACTACCAGGCCCAGGGTGTGGCGTCGGGCTGTCTGCTTGTGGATTTCATTTCTGCCTTTTAGTTTTTACTTCTTTCTTTGGAGGCAGAAATTGGGCATAAGACAATATGAGGGGTGGTCTCCTCCCTTAAGTTAAGTTGTATGGTTTCTCTTAGTCTCCTTTCTCTATTTGCCTTCATACTTAACTAAATCAAAAACTCCCTATCACCCCAAATACCAGTTGAACTGTAGACTGCACTGACCAATTTGGTAGCCACCATTCACACGTGGCACTTGAAATGTAGCTACAATTGAGATGTCAGTGTAAAATACCAGATTTCAAAGACTTAATACAAAAAAGAACATAAAATATCTCATTAGTACTTTGAACATTAATTAGATGTTTAAGTGATAATATTCTAGATACATTGAGTTAAAGTATATTACTCAAATTAACTTCACCTGTTTTTATTTTTTTATTGTGACTGCTTGAAAATTTAAACTGGTATCTGTGGCTCACATTGTATTTCCTTCCTTCCTTCTTTCCTTCCCTCCTTCCTTTCATTTTTTTTTTTTTTTTTTTTTTTTTTTTTGAGACAGAGTCTCACTCTGTTGCCCAGGATGGAGTGCAGTGGCATGATCTTGGCTCACTGCAACCTCCACCTCCCGGATTCAAGTGATTCTCCTGCCTCAGCCCCCCAAGTAGCTGGGACTACAGGCGCATGCCACCGTACCTGGCTAATTTTTGTATTTTTAGTAGAGACAGGGTTTCGCCATGTTAGCCAGGCTGGTCTGGAACTCCTGATCTCATATGATCCACTCACCTCGGCCTCCCAGAGTGCTGGGATTACAAGCCTAAGCCTGTAATCTACTGGAGAATATTGCTCTATACCCTTCTATTCAACCTGAGCATCACCTGGGAGCTGTTAAATGCAGAATTTCAGGTCCTATCCCAGGCCTACCAAACTAAATTCTGCAATTTGACAAGATCCCCAAGTGACGCATACGTACATTAAAATTTGAAAAGCACAGTTCTGGGATCAGGAAACCTTTTCTTTCAAGGGACAGAGAATACACATTTTAGGCCTTGAAGGTCATATGGTCTAGGTCACAACTACTGAACCCTGTCATTGTAATATATACAAATGAATGGGTGTGATCATGTTCCCGTTAAACTTCATTTACAAAAATAGGCCCCATACTTTTCCCATCCCTGGGCTAGACCAGTGGTTTCTTGAACTTTAGCATTCACTACCATCACCTGGGGAGCTTATTTAAAACACTGCTTGCTGGACCCCACCTTCAGAGCTTCTGTCCGACTCAGTAGGTTTGGGGAAGGATCTGGGAGTCTGCATTTGGGCAAGTCTCCAGATGACACTTATCCCTCTGGACCCGGGGCACACTTCGAGAACTATTACTCTAGCATAATAGTTTTTTGCTCTGGCTGTACCCTAGAATCATCTAGCAGTCCTTTTAAAAACAGTGATGCTTAGATCTCACCCCAAACCAATCAAGTCAATCTCTAACAGTGGTCCTCAGTGGCACTGGCATGTTGTAAAAACTCCCCCAGGTGACTTTAGTGTGCAGCCAGGCACCTGCCCATTACAAAATTACCAACTACTCCCTAAATGAGTGGTGAAGGTGTTAGGAAAACAGAAACATTAATCAATAAGTTACAGTTATCTACGAAAGACCTATTGCGACTTAACACACCAAAGACATAAGTATTTTACAAAGAGATTTCTTCTTACCGTTCCCAAATTGATGGAATGGACAGTATGACTAAGCACAGTTTTTAAACTTTCAGATTGCTTGGGGATATACTTTTAAGTGAGCAGAGAGAAACATGGGCTATCATGATTTTCTTACCTACACTATTTCTGTTTTCGATTTCACAAATAATCAACAACAGCAAATACTATGGTCTAGTTCTGACCTTGCTGATAAACTAGCTGTGTGACCTTGGATAAGTCACTTAGGCCTGTGCTTCCTTGACTATAAAATGAGGGGGCTGACTCTGTCCCTTCCAGCTCTAAGTGTCTTTGCTTTATGATACATACTTGTGAATCATGAATTTTCAAAAAACATTTTGAGTTTTTTTTCTCTTTTGCAGAAGCAGTGGGAATTGTGTCAATAGGATCAAGGCAAGAGCAAAGGTAATTGCTTATGTAGCGATATCCTGTATGTGAATTTTGTTTATGTGGCATCTCACCACTGTGCAGCTTGCCAGCTTTATGGACCACTCTGTGAAATCAGAATCATGGCCAAGGCCAACATCAGGTACGTAAGACATCAGCTACTGTGCCAAGGTCTCAGCTACCTTGGAGAGTGACATTGCAGGGTGGGGAGGAGGGAGTAAATAATCTTTTTTTTTGGGGGGAGATGGAGTCTTGCTCTGTTGCCCAGGCTAGAGTACAGTGGCACAATCTTGGCTCACTGCCACCCCCATGCCCCTAGTTCAAGCAATTCCCCTGCCCCAGCCTCCCAAGTAGCTGGGATTACAGGCACAGGCCACCAGACCTGGCTAATTCTTTTCATATCTTTAGTAGAGACAGGGTTTCACCATGTTGGCCAGACTGGTCTCAAACTCCTGACCTCAGGCAATCCACCCACCTCGGCCCCCCAAAGTTCTGGGATTACAAGCATGACCCACCGTGCCCGGCCGATAATCTTAACCATGTACATATATATAAAACAGACTCTTGGGAAAGAGGTTTTATCTATGGACTAAAGAAAAATAGACCCAAGAGAAGTCAACAGAGATGCCCTAGCATTGGTATGGAATTTGGCCAAGGAGGAAATGGCAACTGCTACGTATACTTGAGAAGGGAATAGGGCCACCAAGAGAACCAGAGGAAAATAGCTTAAAGGGAAAAAGGGTAAGTAGACATAATTGGCTTCCTGTATCTATATTTTAGGCCTGACTTGAAAATAGTCCAAACGTCCTTTGAAAAAACAGTAAATTTACAGTAATAAGATCAGTTCTGATTCTTTGAGAACCCCTAAAGCACAAAGGGGCCTCTATTACCTCTATTACTAGACAGACAGACTGGACTCTAGGAGTTATAATTTCTACATAAGGTTTTAAGGAAGGCAGTTTTTTTCTTTTTTTTTTTTTGAGATGGAGTCTCACTCTGTCGCCCAGGCTGGAGTGCAGTGACATGATCTCGGCTAACTGCAAGCTCTAGCCTCCCGGGTTCATGCCATTCTCCTGCCTCAGCCTCCCGGGTAGCTGGGAGTACAGGTGCCCGCTAATTTCCACGTTCCACACCCAGCTAATTTTTTGTATTTTTAGTAGAGACGGGGTTTCACCGTGTTAGCCAGGATGGTCTCGATCTCCTGACCTCGTGATCCGCCCATCTCAGCCTCCCAAAGTGCTGGGATTACACTGCACCCGGCCTAAGGAAGGCAGTTTTTTCAACTTCACTAATATTCTTTCTACTGAATAGTCTTTTTCTTATACTGCCATGGGACTAGTTATCCAGTTTTTTTATTTTTTTACTACTCTAAATAATCTCAATTTAACAATAAATTAATAAAATTGATTTTGTGAAAAGCAAGTAGAATGATTGGCAGCAGTCTACAAATTCTATCTTTTATCAGTAATGGATGTCAATCAGTGTAGGGTGAGCCAACCTCCTTCTCTCCTTGAGGTCCTGCCCAGATTCATAAAATAGAAGCTTGCACCAACACATCCACCCTCCTGAGAAACTTCCATTAGCAATTCTACCCTCTTGGTCTTCTGGAAGAGAAGAGGAACCACTTATCTGATTGTTGAGATTGGGGCCAAAAATGTACAGCTCATACATAATCTCTGGCTGAGTCTAGAGAACCAAAATGAAATTCTAAAAACTGAAGAGTTATAGAATTGGGCTGAATATTACAAAGCATTCCTATTACTCAGCAGGAAGGAAATTTGAAAAGGATATAAATGTGACAATTATTGAAGAAAACAGTAGCAGTCCATGTTTATACTCCAATAAAGTGTATATTTGTATTTGCATTTCTTTTTAATCTGAAATGCGATAATCTGTTACACATTAGTCTCCAACTTGCTTTTTTCCCTTAATAATGTGTCATTGGAATCCCCCCAGGTCAATATATGTAAATCTGATTCACTCTTTTTAATATTGGTGCAACAATTTGTATTGAGGAATAGATGAATTATTCTAATTCATCTATTCCCCTATCAATGTTCATTCGCATTGTTTTCAGTTTTTTTTCTTCTTGCCACTATAAAACAACAAATAGGCATTGTTTCTCATCCATCCTTACATACTTGTGTTTTTTCTCATAACATAGATTCCCAAATTACAAGGTCAAACGACGTGACATATTTTAAACCTTGTCAGATGTTGCCAGATGCTTTCCCAAAAGGTTGTAGCAATTCACATTTCAACCAGCAGTGTATTAACTACCCATTTTCCCTTTTCACTAATAGTGTTTCTAAAGATTCCCATTTTTACCATACTAATGGCTTAATTTTTATTTCCCTGAGTACTACTGAAATAAAGCATCTTTTTGTGAGTTTACTGGCTACTTGCATTCTTCTTTTTGTGACTTTTTGGTGTATACACTTTGCCCATTTTTTTCTATTAGGTTATCTGCCTTATTCATATCCATTTATTAGAAGTCATCATTTATTAGAGTTGTTAAATTTTGCCTTTCATAGGTGTTGAAATATTGTTTTCTTTTTGTCTTCGATCTCTTGCTTTCGTTTATGTTATATTTAACCTTACATATTTTTAAGCTTTTTGAAGTTTAATATACCTATCTCTTATTGCAGCACAGATTCTTATCTTGCTTAGGAAGTTTTCCCCACCCAAGGTTGTGAAAATATGCTCCTAAATTTTATTATTTTATCTTTCTACATTGAAATCTTTATCAGAAACATTTTTATTGAGGTAAAATTCACAGACACAGAAATGCATAGCTCTTAAGGGTAAAATTCAATGAGCTTGGACAAATGTGTACAACCACATAACCAAAACCTGTTGAGCTAGAAGACAATTCCATCACTCCAGAGAACTTTCATATGCCCTCTTGTAGTCAATCTGCAGCCATCATCGGCAACTACTGCTCTGATTTCTATCACATACATTAGTTTTCCCTGTTATTGAACTTCATATTAATGAAATCACACAGTGGGAACTCTTTTGTGTCTCACTTCTTTCAATCAATATATGTTTTTGAGGGTTTTTTCCCATATTATTGCCAACCTGTATTCCATTGTATCAATATACAAGGGTTTGCTTACTCAGTCTCCTGTTGATGGCCATTTGTGTTGTTTCCAGTTTGGGGCTCTTACGAAGAAAACTTCCATGAACATTCATATACAAATCTTTGTGTGAACAGACTGGATATATGTTTTCATGTCTCCCTGGGGAAATACCTAGGAGTGGATTTGCAAAGTCTTAGGGTAGGCAAACGTTTAGAAAGTGCCAAAACTTTTTCCAAAATGCCTGCACCATTTGTTATGTCTGCAAGCAAAATATGAGAGCTTCCTGCTGCCTCACATCCTCACCAACATTGGGTGCTGTCTTTTAAATTTCAGCCATTTTAGTAAATTTGAAGTGGCTTCTTACTGTGACTTAAATTTATATTTATTTAATACTGTAATTAATCATGTTTTTCCCCTTTTCATGTCCTTAGTGCCACTTAAATGGGGTTGTCTTTTATTGTTGAGTTGTAGGAGTTCTTTATATGTAAATACATGTTCTTTATATTTATTTCATATATATGTATTGTGATATATGATATATTCCTTCCATCTCTGGCTTGTCTTTTCATTTTGTTAACAATGTCTTTTTATGAGAAGATAGTTAAGTTTCGGTAAAGCCGAATTTGTATATTTTTTTCATTTATGGTTAGTGCTTTTCATAAGAAATCTTTGTGTATACCAAGTTTACTAACATACTGTTTCCTTCTAGACACTTTATAATTTTACCTTTTAAACATAGGTCAATCATTTATCTTCAATTAAGTTTTGTTTATACAGTTAGGTAAGTGTTAAAATTCATTTTTTTTCCCATGTTTATTCAGTTATTCCAGCACCAGTTGCTGGAAAAAAAAAATCCTTTCCCCATTGAATACACGTGGTGCTTTTTTCAAAACTCAATTAATTGTGGCCGAGTATAGTGGCTCACACCTGTAATCCCAACTCTTTGGGGGGCCGAGGCAGGGGGATTTCTTGAGTCCAGGAGTTCAAGACCAGCCTGGGCAATATAGTGAGACGCCATCTCTAAAAATTTTTTTAATCAAATGATGGTATATGTGGGTCTACATCTAGATGTCCTATGCTGCTCCATTCATTAATCTATTTATCTACTTGTTCTTATGCCAATACTACAGGCTTAATTATCATGGCTTTATAGTACATCTGTAAATCAGACTTTTTTTTCATTATTCTAGGTCCTTTGCCTTAAATGTGAATTTCAGAATCAACAGGCCAATTTCTAGCCCCCTCAAAAAAAGGGCTCTGAAATTTTTATTGGGATTACATTCGCTCTATAAATAAATTCTGGAAAAATTGACATTTAATAATATTGAGTCTTCCAATATATGAAATGGGTGTATTTCTTCATTTATTTAGGTCCTCTTTAATTTTTCTCAGCAATGCTTTATAATTTTCAGTACATAGGTTTTACACAACTTTTGTTAAATTTATTTTTATTTATATCATATTTTAGGCTATTACAAATAGAATTGCTTATAAAACTTACTTGCGTCTAGTATAAAATGCAATTTTGTATATTGATCTTTTACTCTGTTACCTTGCTAAGTTCAATTATCAGCTTTAATAGTTGCTTTGTGGATTTCTATATGCCTAGTCACGTTGTCTGCAAATGAAGATTATTTTACTTCTCTTTTTTTTCTTTTTTGCCTTTTATTTCTTTTACTTGACCTTCTGCACTGGCTAGGGGCTAGGATTTCAGGAAAATGTAGAATAAAACTAAAAAGGGTGAAAGTTATTAGGTATAAACATGTTTCAGAATGTTAGATATTGCTGATTAACCAACATTTTATCTTTTCTTTTTTTTTTTGAGATGGAGTATCACTCTGTCGCCCAGGCTGGAGTGCAATGGCACGGTCTCGGCTCACTGCAACCTCTGCCTCCTGGGTTCAAGCAATTCTCCTGCCTCAGCCTCCCAAGTAGCTGGGACTTCAGGCACGTGCCACCACACATGGCTAATTTTTGTATTTTTAGTAGGGACGAAGTTTCACTATGTTGGCCAGGCTGGTCTTGAACTCCTGACCTCATCATCCACCCACCTCAGCTTCCCAAAGTGCTGGGATTACAGGCATGAGCCACCACCCCTAGCCATTTTATCTTTTCTAATGTCCCTCTTTATCTCTGTACCTAGTAACGGAGCTACAAAGTATGTGAAACAGATAGAAACAAAGGGTGAAATAGTTAAATGCTCAATGTGATAAAGACCATCTATTTTAAAAATACAGTTAACTAAATGATGAAATAATATTTGAAAAAAGGTAAGGTCTTCCAGTTACATTCATCATGTCTGAATGTACAAATTGTGAAAAGTGTTTTTCAATGTGATTTTAGTTGACAGATTCTAGATTTATTTTCACAGACCTGTAATTCGCAAATGAAGAAATTAAAATTGTGAATAACCTACTTTAAAAAGTTAAACCTGTCAGTAATCAAAGAAATGTAGATTAAAATGGTAATGAGAAAATTCCAAATTCTAGTTAAGGTGCTTCTTCTGCAGGCTTCAGTAGATCCCTATACTTCCTCTAGTATAGAGATAACCACTGTAAATTGAAATTGTCTGTATATTGTCTTGTCTCCTTCTAGATGAAATCTTTGTGAGGGCAGGGTTAGTTCAATAAGAACACAAAGATAAAAAATAATTAGAATGCCTAGAATTGTCAAAGACAAAAGGAATTAGGCACTCTTATATACACTGCTGGTGGAGGCATAAATTGATAATGCCTTTCTCCAGAGCAATTTGGCACAGTATCAAGCTCCTTAAAATATGCATAAACTTTGACCTGGCAATGTAATTTCAAGGAATTTATTCTAAGGAAATAACTCATGTGCCCAAAGATTTCTACATAAAAATAAGTATAAGATATAGGTAATCTGAGTGTCCAAAACTGGGAAATAAGTAAAATAAATTATGATATTTATAATGGAATTATATAATAGAATTTTATGCAGCTATTAAAATTTGGTTCATAAATGCTTTACCATTCTTTACAGACATGTTTGTAATACAGTAAGTGAAAAAGAAGTATAAAATACCAAATATCATTTGAATACATTTTTTCAAAAAAAAAAAAAAAACATAGCTATAGCTGGGGGTAGTGGCACACACCTGTAGTCCCAGCTATTCAGGAGGCTGAGGTGAGAGGATCACTTGAGCCCAGAAGTTCAAGAACAACCTGAGCAACATAGCAACATAATGAGACCTTGTCTTTAACTTAAAAAAAAAAAAGTAGCTCAGATGAAGTACAAAAAATCACAGAGATCCATCAAAATGCTCTATTCTTAAGAGCAGTTTGCCTTATACCCATTCATTCTTTTATCCTCTATAAAACTGGGGATTGGGATTATAGGTAATGTTATTTTACTTATCTATATTTCCTTTTTTCTCTACTATTAGTGAATATTGCTTTTGGCACTAGGGGAAAAAAACACAATTTTATAAGAAAAAATGGGGGCCTTCCAACCCAGTATGTATTTCGGTCATATGTTTCCACCCAATCAGCTTCAAAACAGCTGTCTTTCAGTTAATTGCTACTTCTCTTCCTCGCCCTCTTTTCCCTGGTACAGATATCATGTGGATTCATGGGAGGTTTACAATTACTCATCCTCTCCTTAGCACATCTATTCTTTTGATCACAGCTCTGGAAGGTGTGTGTCATGTGGGTAACAATAGAGAAGTGATGAAGTAGCTCATCAATGTCACCACAGAGTCAAATAGAAAATAAAAGACTAAGCTGAGAACAAGGATCATTTGTGACAGGTATATCCAGGATTTCAGCTTTCATGTAGAGAAGAAATCAAGGGAAAATTGTAATTTCATTTATTGTCCATGTGTGAGAATAAAGAGAACTTGTCTCCTTCCCAATTCCCAACTCCCTCTCACCCCGTAAAATTTGTGCCATTATTTTATATGTTTGCTTTGCTTATGCAGATAATAAAAGGTACATGTTTCTTGCTCTGTTTTCCTCATTATATAAAATTATATAACGTCATTAATGTAATTTTAGCCCTAACAACTGACCACATTTGACCATTGCCTGGAACCACAAGCTTCTTTTAAACCTTGAGCTAAAAAGCACAATTTATTAGAATCTGATAGTCTCTTCTAAAGTTAGTTATTCTGTTGGGAAAGGGATTGTTTGTGCCAAGCTCCCATTCATTCTTTTGTCCTCTGCAGGACTGTAGGACATTGAAACTAGAAAAGGTCTTAGATAATAATAGCTATCACTTAAAGTGCTCGTTAAATAACAGGCACTATCCTAACAGCCATGCATACACATTAATACATTTAATTCTTACAACTCTAAGGTAGGTTTTACTACTCATTACAAAGATCAAGGAACTGAGGTACAGACAAGCTAGGTTAAATTGTTTAATGTGACACAAGAAGTATCCCAGGATTGGAACAGAGGTTATATGCCACTGAAGTCCCCTCAGTTTCCATGCTCTACTGCCTTGCTGTCATCATCTGTATATCTGGTCCTCTTAGAGAACACCAACTATAATTCCCATTGTAGAAAAATCAGAAAGCAGACTGCAAAAGTAATACATCATTCATGCATATGTCTTTTTATTTATGGTGTTTATTTATGATTTATATTCTTTATGTGCAAAATCGTCCTCCATTTTCTTATGGCTTCTGCCTGTTGTGCCATCCTTAGATTTTCACACTTTCAGATGATATAAATGTAGGTAAGTATAGATATAAATTTAGACATAGACACGTACATCTAGGCCAGTTCTTCTATATTTATTTACTTGTTCTATACCCAATTTACTTCAGGTCTTTTTAAACATTTATATCTGCATTCAGGTGGAATTTATTTTAGGTAAAACTTTTTCCTAAACAGTTTCCTCTGCTGTCTAGCATGACTTACGATATATTTCTTTCTTCCTTCCCACTTATTTTAAGTGTGATCTTTATCACATGGATCTATTGAGGACTCTGCCTTCAATTTCATTAATACGTCCATCATTAGTCCATTAACACACATTTTTCCATATTCTGATTTGTAACACATTGTAATATGTTACCGGACAAAACCCCTCTAAATTACTGTTCTTTTAGAAAGTGTTTCATCTGATATAATTTCTCTTTCAAAAATGTGGTGTGCCTTCCTATTCATCTTAGTACTGGGAGTCCTAGCCAGAGCAATCAGGTACGAGGAACAAATAAAAGGCACCCAAATAGAAAGAGAGGAAGTCAAACTACCTCTGTTTATAGACTATGTGACTTATACCTAGACAACCCGATAGTCTCTGCCCAAAACTACTTCATCTGATAAACACCTTCAGCAAAGTTTCAGAATACAATATCAATGTACAAAAATCAGTAGCATTTTTATACACCAACATGCAAGCTGAGTGCCAATCAAGAATGCAATCCCATTTGCAATAGCCACAAAAAGAGTAAAATATCTAGGAATACAACTAACCAGGAAGGTGAAAGATCTCTACAACAAGAATTAAAAACATTGCTCAAAGAAATCAGAGATGACACAAACAACTGGAAAAACTCATGGATAGGAAAAATCAATTTACTATACTCCAAGGCTGCAGTAACCAAAACAGCATGAGGCTGGTACAAAGACGGACATATAAACCAATGGAACAGAACAGAGAGCCAAGAAATGATGCTGCACACATACCACCATCTGATTTTCAACAAAGTCAGTGAAAACAAGCAACAGAGAAAGGATTCCCTATTCAATAAATGGTGCTGGGATAACTGGCTAGCCATATGCAGAAGACTGAAACTGCACTCCTTTACACCATATACAAAACTCAACTCAATGGATTAAAGACTAAAATGTAAAACCTAAAACTATAAAAACTCCAAAAGATAACCTAGGAAACACCATTCTGGACATAGGCCCTGGCAAAGATTTTATGACGAAGACACCAAAAGCAACTGCAACAAAAACAAAATTGACAAATGAGACTTAAACTAAAGAGTTTCTGCACGGCAAAAGAAATTATCAACAGAATAAACAGACAACCTACAGAAATATTTGTGAACTATGCATCTGACAAAGGTCTAACATCCAGAATTTCTAAGAAACTTAATCAAATTTACAAGCAAAAAATAACCCCATTAAAAAGTAAGCAAAGGACATGAACAGACAGTTTACAAAAGAAGATATACATGTGGCCAACGATCATATGAAAAAATGCTCAGCATCACTAATCATTACAAAAATGCAAATCAAAATCACAATGAGATACTATCTCACACCATCAGAATGGCTGTTCTTTTTTAAAAGTCAAAAATAATAGATGCTGGTGAGGTTGCAGAGAAAAGGGAACACTTAAGCACTGCTGATGAGAATGTAAATTAGTTCAGCCATTGTTGAAAGCAGTGTGGAGATTTCTCAAAGAACTTAAAACAGAATTATGATTTGACCCAGCAATCCCATTATTGGGTATATACCCAAAGGAACATAAATTGTTGTACCATTAAGACACATGCACCCGCACATTCATTGCAACACAACTCACAATAGCAAAGACATGGAATCAACCTAAATGCCCATCAATAGTAGACTGTGCCAGGCACAGTGGCTCATGCCTATAACCCCAGCACTTTGGGAGGCCAAGGCAGCAGGATCACTTGAGCCCAGGAGTTTGAGACCAGCATAGACAACTTGCCCAGTTTATGAATTCTGGCCAATTTCTGCCTGAATCACACTTACCAACCTACAGTTGAAGTGTAGGTTTCCATCCTGGCTTCTAGCAGTCAGCTCTACAATTCTGAGGAGAAGAGTTCTTTCCCCTATGTCTGGGTCTCTGACATACTGAACCCAACCAATGAATTAAAAATCACATCCCCCATCACATACTACAACAAACATCTATCATCCTGTCTCCTCCCCTAACCATAATGCTTTACCTATTGGATACTACAATAGTGGTGCTGGTGGAGAACAGCTACCATGTCTGGAAGACTGCTACATTCTGAATCTTGGCATCACCCCAAAATTCATGCTGGAATCTAATAACGTATAGTATTAAGAAGTGGGACTTTCGGGAAAGCGATTTAGTCATGAGGGCAGTGCCCTTATAAAAGAGGTTAAAGGGAGCTGCCTTGCCCCTTCCACCACGTGAGGACAGCAAAGGCACCATTTTTAAAGCAGAGCAAACCTTGACCAGACAGTGAGGCTACTGGTAACTCGATCTTGGACTTCCCAGCCTCCAAAACAATAAGAAATTTCTGTTGTTTAATAAATGACCCAGTCTGTGGTATTTTGTTACAGCAGCCCAAATAGACTGAGACAAACACCTACTATAGGCCAACTTTATATAGGACACTTTCTACTTCAAATCCATATAATAACTCTGTAAGAGAGACAATATTATACACATATTAGAGATGAAGAAACTGAAGCTCAGAAAGAATAAGTCACTTTCCCAAAGTTTCTCATTTATTAAGCAGAAGAAGTAAGATTCTAACCCAGATCCATCTGTTCATTTGTTCCTCTGTAATGGGCAACATGCCCCCTGCCAGCACCCACCTCCTTCTTCCAACTCTGTTGTTTTCCAGTAACCTTTAGTATAAACAATTATAAAAAGATAGGGGAGTAGATACTTTTGTCATCTTAAAAAATCATTGTGCAGAAGAAATATGAGACCCAGGGTCCCTAAGATGGCACATATGGCAAGGAAGAGGAATCAGAGTATGCTGTGTTTTTGTTTTTGTTTTTCAAATACCTATTTCATATGGTAAAGCATGGGTGTGCCAGAAAAGGAAATGAGGAGGTGTTTCTAAATCCCCCTTCTGTCAGTTAGCTTTTTTTCTTTTATCTTCTTAGGTGGTATAATAGTTTTAAGATTTTCTTTTGCGCCTCCGTACGCACATTCATGCAAACTTGGGGAAGGCTATGTCAGAGGTTGCTAACCTAATACAACTTTAAACATTGCAACATTCTATAATTAGGCCCAATGAAAGCCAGTGACATATATAATGCACACTGACTTTACCATCCTTCCTCTACACCACACATGAACCTATTCCACACAGATTATGGAAATTCTAACCTGGGAATTCACAGATGTCAAATGGGAAAAGTTGGCTACAATCACTCGGCCACAATTTTTAAAATACCCCTTGCATTCATTTGAGGTTAATTAAGAGGATGAGTTTTGTCATAAGGCCAAATACCTCCTCTAACTAGAAGAAATAATCATTCAGAGCATGTCATTAAAGGCGACAGCAAAGACTTAATGTCACTCCATTTTTATATTTGCTGGTTGTAATTGTCTTTATGTGGGCTTTTTATAATGCTTGGATCAAATAATTTATAGAAAAATAAAATAACTAGTATCCATGTTCAGCATCCCTGTTCAGGTGTAAATGTGTTCCTAAGATATTTTTCCTAGAAAAAAATACTAACTCTATAAAAGAATGCTAAAATAGCAGAATATAATCTGCGTTGTAAATTAGCAGTTTATACTAGTAAATGATGAAAATTATTCATTAAAGAGCTAGATACAATTGAAAAAAATACATTTTACTTCTTCCAAGTGTAACCTGGGAAAGAAGATGCTCTTAAAAATGTTTGACTTGGTTCTTCAATAACTGAAGCACACTGTTTAGTTCTAGGGGTCATAAAATCTGTCATTATTGCTGCTGTTATTAGGAATCTTGCATTTGCAACTACAAGTTACTAAAAATATTGAAGGAAATAGTACAGGGTTACAACAGATGCTCAGAGCTGAAATCCTATGCCCAGAAACTGCTGTTGCTTTTGAAATCACCCTTGTGGCTGAGTCAGTTGTTCACGTGCATGTCTGCCAAGGCACAATGATCATTTTGAGCCAAATTTGGCAGGTGTTGTCTTCATACTCCAAAGTGAGGAGAGAATCTCTCTAAAAATATCTTTCTTCCTTATTCACACAGGCACCATATTATTCTGAGAAGGAATGCATCACTACCAACAATAGGGTGTGTATGTATTTTTGTTTATTTCTTGTACCATTCCTTTTTCCAAAAAAAAAAAGATTTGTGTTTACACCATATTTTTGGATGGAGCACCTAAATGCATCTGATATGTGAATCACAGTATTCAACAGATGTTGAAGGAATTAATGATTCAGCAAAGCAACTCAGGCTCTCTTTCCCAGGAATTATATTGCAAAATTCTCAATGCCTGAAGCAATTGGCTTATTTTCAAGTACCAGTATGTTTTTTGTATAATTCCTATTTATTTTCATAATGCTCATTCTTATCTAGATATTTGATGGTAGTTTATGGAAGCACAACTTTGCCAACACAGCTCTGTCCTGCTCACAAAGGCCTTCTCCTGTACATATCTCCCTAGGATCCTTCTCACTAACTTTGCTCAAACCTTGCCCTCCGCCTCAGATGACCTCCTTATCATTTTGCAACAATCCACATCATCTAAGTCCCAGCTCGAAATGTGTCTCTTGTGAGAATCTTTCCCCAGAACCTGCCGCCCCTTTCCATCTGTTTTCACCCCTCAGCACATATACATTAGGTCTGTGCTAGACACCCTAGTATTTCTAATCTCCTTTCTTTATAGTTGTTTTCAAACTGCTTATGGTGCACATATATTTTATAGCTCCTTAATTATGAATGCCTTCAGGAAAGCACCTGTTCTATGTTTTGGACACACTTCCACTTCCCCATAGGGTCAATTTTCCTATGTTGTGTATAGTAAAAACTCAGTGAAGGCATCACCATTCAGAGAACACACTTCACAATTTTTCAGCCAAAGCTCAAAGCAGTTTTTTCTTCTTAGCCATCTTTGGGCAATTTATACAAGCCTCTGAGTCTCTATCTTTTATATCTGGCACTTCATTATTACACATTTTTCACTTTGGCAATATATGCCAAATGCTGATCTTCTATAAGGATGTCCTAACAGGACCTAGCAAGTAAGCAAGTAATTTTATGTCAAAGTGTGTGTGTGTGTGTGTGTGTGTGTGTGTGTGTGTGTGTGTTTTCTTTCTATGCCCAGAGCTTCTTTCCACTTGTCCAAAAATAGACTCTTCAAGGAAAATATGTAGCTTCATAAAATCATCTTTACTCTAGGAGCAAAATAGACCTCCTTTGATCTTTATTATTATACAGGGTAGAAAATCAACCTCTGCCCTGCTCCAAGTTCTCAAGTGATAATATTAAAAGAACTTGGTAAGAGCTTTGTAAGGTAAAGTGCTCAGATTTTTTTTCTAATGTCTGAGAAGCCACAAGAGTGTTTAAGTAGAGTGGGGCTTTCTGAAAGATCACCCGGGCTGCAGGGGGGAGAACAGATGGTGGGAGAAGATGAGGATTTCAAAAGGAGGCCATAGAGTAGTCCACATGAGGACGGCTTGGACAATCATGGCTTAAAATATAATAGCTTTATATGTTTTTTAAAAAATAGAATATATGCTCAATGTAAAAAGTTTAAATAATACAGGAAACATTCACTCCTGCTTCCTGGCAAAGTACTACTTGGGTGGGAATCTCCAAGCTTCGGTGGCATCATGGGCCTTCTTACACTTCTGTGTGTACTGATCCTTTTGGCTAGAATCGCCTTCCAGATTCATCAAAACTCCCTTCTCTCCCTGGTAAATTCATACACATCCTACAATTAGTCCAAGTTCCTTCAGAGCTGTCCCTGTATGTCTTCCCCTTGCCCTCTATCTTTCCCTAACCAGACAGAACCACTGCCTCCTCCACCTCCTATAGATCTTCACTCACGCCTCTGAAAGCACTCCTCCTATAATTTGCTGTCTATGAGTCTCTCTCTTCCACTGAATTGTAAGTTCTAGGACGGTAGGGGCCAAATTTTCTTTATCTTTACATCATGAGCATAAATGCCAGGGCACAGTTTGCAGCCTACCCTCACAGCAGGAGAAGATACAGCATCTCTGTTATTATATGGAGAGGTAGCATAATATGGTAGTTTAACTCTGGAGCCAGATTTCCTGGGCTCCAGCCTGGCTCTGCCTTTACCAGTTGTGACTTTGGACAAGTTAATTAACCTCTCCATGCTTCAGGTTTCTCATCTGTAAAATGGAGGTAATAATAGTACCCATCTCATTGTGTGATATTATGACAATTTAATAAGGTAGGATTTTTAAAGATCTTGGGAGAGTACCTGGCACTAAATAAATGTTTTAAAATATTTAAAAAGTAACTATGATTCAGACTACATCTACATCACACCATTCAAAGGAGAAGAACAGACAGCTCACATTGAAACTCTTGAGTCTGCTTTTTCCTTCCAATAGTTTTTACCAGGTATTTGTCCAGTTGGTGCATATGGACAGCTAATATAGTTCCCTGTGCTAAAAACAAATTTGGTAAGTGGAATTGATTTTAAAGACCACTGAGTTTAAGCTTCTCATTTAATGGGTAAGAAAACCAAGATGAAGTGGTTTTCTGAGGGTACAGGGATCATTCATGACAGTGTTTCTCTTGCCAACCCAGTGTTCTTTCTACACATTCTCAGGCAATACCAGAAAGCGTGAGCATTGTTAAAATTATTTGGAAGAAAAAGTCAGCAAAACTTGTGCGAGCACAGGGCCGAGACTGATTAAGCAGCTGTTCTTATGCAAAACAGACCTCATTATTTTTTAACCAAAGTGGATTCCACTCCTTCTTGTGAACTATTGTGCCCTTCTCCTTGGATAAAAATTACCATGAGTTTTAGAAAACGCCTCAAATTGCCTAATGAGTGGCGGGAAGAATTACAGAATGTAAAATTGCCTTTGTGTCATCTGGGGAGAATTTCTTCAATGCTGTGCTTCCAATGGGAAAGGACAGATGATTGTTCATATTACAACAAACATGGGGATACCATGGAACAGAATGCAAAATATGCATGCCTTTGTTTTGCATTAAAAGAGACACTGCAAAGAAATTTCTCACTTTTGAGGAGGATGCTTCAGGCAATACCTCTGCCCTCTGGAGATTAAGTTCACACCTCCTCCCCTAAGGGTAGTTCAATAGGACATTTTAAGATTCAGTGAAACAGTATAACAAGTTATTTACTGGGGATATGCACAAAATGCCTGAAAATATGTAAGTACTTAAGTCTGCCTGAAGACCTATGCGAGGCTTCCCAGGTGTTGGTGCCTCCCTAAATAACTGTAATTAGGCCATTATACTTTAAACATACAGAATTACTAACATTTTTTACTTATTCTACTTAAAGCCACATTTTACCCAGAATTTATTTCTTTAACTAACATTTTTATAGCACCTGCTATTCAACAGGCAGTGTTCTCAACAAGCACCTCTTTAAGCACTACTCACATGTATTCTTTACTTTAAACTGGCTGCTGGCATTATAAATAACTGCTTTCAAGCAAGGAAATTATTTCTGATGCAAATATTTTGTTCTGGTTATATCCAAAATCTGCTCCTCCATACCATTACCAAATTCTACGGCTATCAGATCAACATACTTAGGCAATAAAGATGTGTCAAAAGGAAGAATGCAAGCTCATGCACTCAACAAATATGTACTGAAAATCCACTGTGTCCTAGAGCTTTTGCTACACATTGGGGTTACAAAGGCAAATAAGACACTGTTCTTCACCTCCAGGAGGGGACAGTTGTAGTGGATGACAGTTGCTTCATCAACCCTGTTTTCCCTCCTCTTCTTCTGTTAACATAACCTCTATGGGGCTGTAAGTCATGTGGCCTCAACTTTACCCCCAAAGTGCTCTTCTGTCTATACACAGTGATTGGTTTCAGAGATGAGCATGTGACCCAAGTAAGGTGAATCAGAGATCTGATTTAGGGAACTGAAATACACACACGGCAAGAAGCTTTATGTCCTTTTTACAATCCCAGGCACTGAAGACCATCCATGCATGTAAACTTGGCGCAGCTGGTAACCACTTTGTGAGGAGAGAGCCTGCCTGCCAAGGAAGGAAAACAGGAAATGGGAAAGGCTGTACTAATTTACATTATCACCAACAGTGTGTAAGTGTTCCCTTTTCCCCACATTCTCACCAATGCTTGTTGTCTTTTGTCTTTTTTGTATAATATCCATTCTAACTAGAATGAGGTGATTTCTCTTGGATTTGATTTGCATTTCCCTAATGATTAGTAATGTTGAGCATTTTTTAATATGCCTGTTGGCCATTTGTATGTCTTCTCTTAAGAAATGTATATTAAGGTCTTTTGCTTATTTTTTTCATTTTTCATTTTTAATTTTGTGGGTACATTGTAGGTATGATACAGGAGCAAAAAAAGAAATTAGTTAGGCAGTTAGTGAGCAAAAAAGAAATTATTTAGGCAGTTAGTAAGGGTAAGAGAGTCCTCAGGAAGGCTTCCCTTGTAACAAAAAAGCAGCCCCAAATCATTTCTTTTCTGACAAAGAGCAGCCTGTAAAATCGAGCTGCAGACATAAATAAGCAAGCTGGAAGCTTGCATAGGTAAATGCTGGCAGCTGTGCCAATAGGAAAAGGCTACCTGGGGGGCATGCATGTTCAACATGGAGGTTTCCTCTTCCCTTTTCTTTGTGGCCACGTGTGCAGTAAAAAGGCTGCGCTGGCCACGTAGAAACCTTCTGCGTAATAAAAGATTAGGGTGGGGTGGCCAGGTTCTTCCTGAACTATGCAAACAGCACACCTGGTCTAACCAATCTCTTGGGACCTATGTAAATCAGACACCGCCCCGTCAAGCTCGTCTATAAAACCCCATGCATTTCACCACAGAAATGGAAGATTGACTTGGGAGCCACTCTCTCTCTGCAAGAGAGCTAGTCTCTTTTCTCTTTCTTTCTCCTATTAAATCTCTGATCTTTAACTCACTTCTTGTGTGTCCCCGTCCTCAATTTTCCTGGCATAAGATGATGAACCTCGGGTATTTACCCCAGACAATGATGCCACTTCAGGTATATATGTTTGTGGGGTACATGGGATATTTTGATACAGGCATGTGTAATAATGTGTAATAATCACATCAGGGTAAATTAGGTATAAATCACCTCAACCATTTATCCTTTGTATTATAAACCATCCAATTATACTCTTTTAGTTATCTTTAAATGTACAATTAAATTATTATTAACTATAGTCACCCTATTGGGCTATCAAATACTAGATCTTATTGATTATTTCCATTTTTTTGTACCCATTAACCATCCCACATCCCGCCTACCTCCCCACACACACACTCTACATTTCCTAACCTCTGGTAACCACAATTCTACTCCATGAGTTCCAGTGTTTTCATTTTTGGCTCCCACAGATAAGTGAGAACATGTGAAGTTTGTCTTTCTGTGCCTGGCTTATTTCACTTAACATAATGTCCTCCAGTTGCATCCATGTTGTTGCCAATCACAGGATCTCATTCTTTTTTATGAATAGTACTTCATTGTGTATGTGTACCACATTGTCTTTATCCAGTCATCTGTTGATGGGCACTTGGGTTGTTTCCAAATCTTGGCTATTGTGAATAGTGCTGCAATAAACATGAGAGTGCAGATATCTCTCCAAAATACTAATTTCCTTTCTTTTGAGGTATATAGCTAGCAGTGGGATTGCTGGATTACCTGATAGCTCAATTTTTAGTTTTTTGAGGAACCTCAAAACTGTTCTCCATAGTAATTGTACTAATTTACATTACCACCAACAGTGTAAGAGGGTTCCCTTTTTTCCACATCCTTGCCAGCGTTTATTGCCTGTCTTTAGGATAAATGTCATTTTAACTGGGGTGAGAAGATATCTCATGGTAATTTTGATTTGCATCTCTCTATTGATCAATGATGTTGATCACCTTTTCATATAACTGTTTGCCATTTGTATGTGCCCATTTTTTAATTGAATTATGGGTTGTTTTTTTCTTTTTTAGGGGTGATGGTGGGGTTTTTTTGCTATTGAGCTGTTTGAGCTCCTTATACTATTTATTAACCCCTTATCAGATGTATAGTTTGTAAGTATTTTCTCCAATTTTGTAGATTGTCTCTTTACTTGTTGTTTCCTTTGCTGTGCAGCAGCTTTTTAGTTTGATGTAATCCCATTTGTCTATTTTTGCTTTGGTTGCCTGTGCTGTTGAGGTCTTATCCAAAAACTCATTGCCTAGTCCAATATGAGGAGGCATTTTCCTAATGTTTTCTAACAGTAGTTTTATAGTTTGGGGTCTTACATTTAAGTCTTTGATTCATTTTGAGTTGATTTTTGTATATGGTGAAAGGGAGGGGTCCAGTGTTATTCTTCTGCAGGTGGATATCCAATTTTCCCAGTGCAATTTATTGAAGAGACTGGGTGTTCTTGACACTGTGACAGGATCCTTGGGGTGTTGCTTCACCAGCTGGAAACCTTTGTGGCTGGTGACACCTTTGCTCGAGTTTTGCTCAGGCCCACTAGGCTTGTTCCACCCACTCGGCCTGGCAGGTGCACCTGGCTCATGCTACCAGCCCGGATCCCACACCTGCCAAGGGTGACCCAGGCACAGAGTGGTAAGGGGTGCATGAGTGAGTGAGCACAGGGTCCAGCCACTGTGCACAGCCAGGCATGCCAGCTGTGGTGGGGCAGGCAGCTCCAGGCACCAGCATGGATGCCAGCTCCCTGTGAGGCTGCGGCTGGACCAGGCGTATGGCAAGCAGCTTCCACAGCTGGCACCAGGGAATGCAGTGGCACCTGGATGCTTAGAGATGCCACGAATTGTGGAGTCCCAAAGTGGGTGTCATGGCTCTGGCTTGGGAGCTCCTAGGTCTGAGATCCCCAAAGTGCCACAGCTCTTCTCTTCTTCTGTCCTCTCCTTCTCATCACCCACAATGTAGTGAGCAAGGGGCATGTTTCAGCCGTGTTTGTATTATAGTTCTTTCAACCCCACCATTCAGGGGTCCCCAAGTTCTTATCCTGTGTCAAGGAAGAATGAGGTATGTGGACAAGTGGAGAGCGAGCAAGGTGAAGAGGTGCTTTATTGAGCAACAGAACAGTTCAGAGGAGACCCTCGGTGTGTAGCTCGTCTCCGCAGGCAGGTCATCCCATCATGTGCTCAGCTCTCAGAGAGAGAAGACCCACAGTGGGTAGCTCCTCTCCTCACACAGGTCATCTCTACATCTGCTCAGCTCTCAGCAGAGAGAAGACCCACAGTGGGTAGCTCCTCTCCTCAGGGAGGTCGACCCCATGTCTGCTCAGCTCTCAGCAGAGCAGAGACCCACAGTGGGTAGCTCCACCCTGCAGACAGGTCATCCCAATATCTGCCCAAATCTGGCTGAATCTAGGGTTTTGGGGGGCTTCAGAGGGGAGGAAGTACATGCTGATTGGTCCAGAGGAAGCCATGGGTGGGCCCAGAAAAAGCACCACAAGTTCTCACTCTTGTCCATGGAACTGGCAGCCTGGCCCCCAGGCTTCAAGCCAACCCGGGCCTGAAGATAGGGCTGCACTGGGGACCCACCTCTTTCTACTCAGGAGCCTGTCTGCCTCCTGCCACCATCAACCTGCCATCCATGAAACCCAGGCTGTTCATGCTGAGGGGTGCCTGCAGGCCCATGCCAAGCTGCCCTCCTTGGCCTCCCCTTGGCCTCCCTCCTGTGCTCTTTGGCCCCACTTTGGCCTCCCTCCTGTGCTCTTTGGCACCCAAAGTCTGGAGGGAGCCAAGGCAACAGGGCATTGGTGTGTCAGCACTTCCCCGAGCACATGCACACTTGGCTGGGTGGCAACAGTACCCAGGCTCGGCCTCAACATTGCTCCGAAATCAGAGTGGGCACCAAGAGCAAGGGCTCCTGGCAGCAGGAGCAAGTATTTCCAACCTGCAGGAGCAAGGAAGATTCCTGAGCCCCCAAGAGTGCAGGAATGCCTACTTAGACAGGGGTGGGGCTTCTGCCTGTTCTCAGCTCCTATTGGATCCACACAGCACACAGCCCCAGTCACACCTCCCCTGCCACAGCTGGCATCTTTGCAGCAGCTGCTCCAGACTGGCCACTGCTGCCATCAATACCTTTGTCAAAAATTGGTTGTCTGTAAATGTGTGGATTTATTTCTGGGCTCTGTATACCATTCAATTGGTCTATGTGTCTGTTTTTATGCCAGTACCATGTTGTTTGTGTTACTATAGCTTTGTATTAGATTTTTAAGTCAGGTAGTGTGATGCCTCCAGCTTTGTTTTTGTTTTTGTTGTTGTTGTTGTTGTTTGCCAGAAATTGCTTTTATTTTACTATTTATGGCCTTCTGTGGTTCTTTATGAATTTTAGTTTTTTTTTCAATTTCTTTAGAGAATGTCATCGGTATTTTGATAGTGATTGCATTGAATCTATAGACTGCTTTGGGTAGTATGGACATTTTAACAATATTAATTCTCCCAATCCATGAATACGAAATATCTTTTCATTTATTTGTGTCCTCTTTCATTTCTTTCATCAATGATTTATAGTTCCAGTGTAGAGACTTTTTACTCCCTTGGCTAAATATTTATTCCTAAGTATCTTTTTCGTAGCTATTGCAAATGAAATTGTTTTCTGGATTTTCTTTTCAGATAGTTCACTATTAGTATATAGAAATGCTACTGATTTTTGTACATTGATTTTGTATTCTCCAACTTTACTGAATTCATTAGTTCTAACAGTTTTTTGGTGGAAACTTTAGGGTTTTCTAGATATAAGATTGTGTCTTCTGCAAACAGGGACAATTTGACTTTCTTCTTTCCAATTTGAATGTCTGTTATTTCTTTCTCTTGTTTAATTGCTCTTGCTGGGACTTTCGGTACTATGTGTTTTCACCAGGAAGGGATGTTGAACTTTGTTAAATGCTTTTTCTGCATCTATTAAAATGATCATATGGCCTTTGTCCTTGTTTCTGTTATTGTGATGTATCACATTTATTGATTTGAATGTAAATTGGTATGACCATTATAGAAAACAGTAGGGAAATTCCTCAAAAAATCAAAAATGGAACTATCATATGATTCAGGAATCCCACTACTGAGTGAATATCCGAAGGATATAAAATCAGTATGTTGAAGAGATATCTGCACTCTCTGTTTATTGCAGCACTATACACAATAGCCAAGACATAGAATCAACCTAACAGTCCAACAACAGATTAATGAATGAAGAAAGTATGATGTATATACATGATGGAATACTATTCACCCATAAAAAAGAATGCAATCCTGTCATTTGTGACAACATGGATGAACTTGGAGGTCATGACATTAAGTGAAATAAGCCAGGCACAGAAAGACATATATTACATGTTCTCACTCATATGCAGAATCTAAAAAAGTTGATCTCATAGAAGTAGTGAATAGAAGAGTGGTTGCCAGAGACTGGGGATGGGGGGGAAGGTGGGAATAGGGAGAAGATAGTTAATAGGTACAAAATTACAATTAGAAAGGAAGAATACATCCTGGTATCCTGTTGCACGGTAAGGTGACTAGAGTCAACCATAAAGTATTGTATATCTCAAAATAGCTAGAAGAATTATGTTACAACCACAAAGAAATGATAAATATTTGAAGTAATGAATATACTAATTGCTCTTAATCATTACACAATATATACACATATTGAAACATCATACCCATAAATCTATAAAATTAGTATGTCAATTAAAAATAAAAAGAAATGGAAAGGGGAGATAGTAATTTGATGGCATCGTCTGAATCCCTGGGTTTATTCTTGAAGATAGCTCCTCTCTGCCTTTTACTAAACCAATTCTCCTTCTGGCTTAGGCCAGTTTGAGTTGTTTCCTGTTGTTAATAGAGCCATTGGTTTCCACAGTGATATTTTCTAAAAATATGATAGTTCTACAATCAGAAAACATGAGTAGTAATTCAAAGGGCAGCCCATAATTCACTACGTAAAAATTGCCATTTCAACTCAATTCATTGAAAGCTTGATGCTCCTGATGATGGACTAACGGTGGCAGACAGAGTGGAAGCAATAGTTATCAGTTACATCCATCCCTATCTTGAGCTTTGAGTTCCTAATCTCCCTCCATTGACCATACCCTGCCTTGCTCTCATTAGAGTTTCACTGGAAGGTCTGGAGTCCTGTCTCTGGGCCTCCTTCCAGTGACTGGGGGCTTCAGACCCACAGACAGAATGGCAAGTCTGCTTGCTTGGGTGGACTTGGGGCTTATCCCCAAAACCTTTCTGGACTCATTTCAACTCCACCCCATGCTGAGCCCTCCAGCTCCCTCAGCCCAGCCTCCTAGTGCTAACCAAGTGTTACAGATTACTAAAGTCCCTGGATCCCACTGCTACTCCCCGCTCTGAGTTTGCCCCTCAAAGCCAGGGACAGATACCAGGCCCTGTCTCATTCTAGTGCCAAACTAATTCCTGAAAATAGTACATTTTATCCCCCCTCCGCTCCACAAACCCACCCCCCCCAAAAAAAACAAGTGAATCAAAATTAAAACAATGTTAACTATAAAATAAATATTATAAGAACACTTAAAATTTCAAAATAAGAGTCTTAATTCTCCCTCTTAAAAATAAGAAAAGATCAGTTAAATAGGAGGAATCAATTTAAGAAATTTATTGTGCAACATGGTAGCTATAGTTAATAATAATTTTATGCTTGAAAAATGCTAAGAGAATGAATTAAAGTGTTCTCACCAAAAAATAATAATAACTTTGTGAGGTAATAATACATATGTTAACTAGCAAGATTTAGTCATTACACAATGTATATATACTTTAATACAACAAGCTGTACATGGTGTGAATGCATACGATTTTACCTGTCAATTTTTTTATTTAAAATAAATAAAGAGGGCCAGGTGCAGTGGCTCATGCCTATAATCCCAGCATTCTGAGAGGCCAAGGCGGGTGGATCACAAGATCAGGAGTTCGAGACCAGCCTGGCCAACATGGTGAAAGCCCGTCTCTATTAAAAAATACAAAAAATTAGCCAGGCGTGGTCCCACGTGCCTGTAATCCCAGCCACTCGGGAGGCTAAGGCAGGAGAATAGCTTGAACCTGGAAGGTGGAGGTTGCAGGGAGCCAAGATCGCACCACTACACTCCAGCCTGGGCAACAAGAGCGAAACTCCGTCTCAAAAAAAAATAATAAATAAATAAATAAATAAATAAGGAAAGAGATTTCCCTCCTCTCCTTTTTCTTACAGCATTTTCTTTAGAAACCTTAAAATTGTAAGCATATTCTCCTCTCTTTGAAATGTATATAAACCTTTGCCAAAATTAGATAGGTCTTTTGTCGGCTTTATGACCCAGAAAGGCTTCCTCAAAGCCTTGGGAACCATTTCTCTGAAATGCAAACATCAAGGGAGATAGTGCCCCTATCTCCCAGTTTCTGTGGAAGGGTAGGAGCCTAACTTAGGCAGGCACAATCCTCCAAGTTGCAAAACTACCTCCTGTCATAAAGATATGAGAGGTTTGTTTTTCCTCTGGATAAAGCCAATTAGCTAACACAGATGGTCACCTCAATTACCAGGTAAAGTTAGAACAAAGGATGTGTGACAAATAGTGCTGTCAAGTCTTCTTACCTGAGGACTAGTTATTATTTATCTTGAGAACACATCTGGAATAGGTTGTATCTGCTTGGCTATAGAAAGGGGTGTGATTTCTTTCTATCTTTGCAATCTCTTGAGGGATTGCCTGTGATGCACATCACATTTGGGTTTAATGCTTTTTCAGTAATAAAACTGTTGTCTTTCTCTTCTTTTGTGGAAAAGATTTCTTGAGCGGGAAAATTTTGTTTTTAATTATATTTGCCGAACAGTGTTTGGGCATAAAGAAATCCCACAAAATTCTGGGTCTAAATAAGAATACGTGGACCCAGGGAGGGGAACATCATATACCAGGGCCTGTTGGGGGATGGGGGGGCAAGGGAAGGAAGAGCATTAGGACAAATACCTAATGCATGCAGGGCTTAAAACCTAGATGATGGGTTGATAGGTGCAGCAAACCACCATGGCACATGCATACCTATGTAACAAACCTGCATGTTTTGCACATATATCCCAGAACTTAAAGTATAATAATAAAAAAAAATCTGGGTCTACACATGATGACCATTGAGATGCTTTCCTCCAATTTTTAGATACTATCCTTCCCTTAAGAAAATTTTTTGCTCCAGTTTTGCAAGTGCCGTAAACACATGCTTAGTCTGCCTATTGAATAACCGAGCCCCGATTCTTCCCCATTACCTTGCAAGAAAGCTCACCTGGCCTCTGGTAAAATATGATAAGGCACTAACAACTAAGCTAGTTGCAGATATGAATCACCCACGGGTTCACCTTCAAAAACTCACACATGCAGTCTAGTCAAAAAAAAACAAAACCAGCATGGCCTCTTTTGGGGAGATGATTCCTGCTTTCCTGCCTTTTTCCTTTTGACAAATGTGATGTGTTGCTAGGAGCCATTTTCATAAATGTTTCATTCTCCCTCCTCCAGGCACAGTATTGCCAGAGCATGAATTATGACCAGCTTGGCCAACGAGTGTCTTTCCAGGAGCACATCCTTTCTAATTTGCTGTCACAGTAGTGCCTCCAGTGGCACAGACTGGGTGGAAAGAGCTCAGTGTCAGAAAATACCAGCAGCTTCTGCATCTGCTGATCAATCCATTGCTTGAGAGCTTACCAGGCAATTTATTTATAATCTTTTCTCAAAGTCAAGATGAACACAGTTTTCTTTCCTTCCTGCTTGGTAGAAAACATAAGGAAATCCTGCTGCGACTGACTTCTCCCACTTACAGTTCCCTTTTCAAGCTCTATTTCCCTTATGCCACATTCAAAGAAAAATTATTGTTCATCCTTTTTGAAAATGGCATACAACTTCCCTGGCTGCTGAATGATAATATTCATAATTGTTGCCTATCAGGAGAATTCATTTGTGGGTATTTCCTATTGCAGCTGTAACCACAGCACTGGAGGGGACAAGCGAGGGAAAAGAACATGATGTAGCCCCAAACACACGCCCTCTGACAGCCTCATTCATGTCACCCAGGATCCCTCTCCCTTACACCTTCCTACTTTGTACCATAAAACCGTCCACAGAAAACACTTAAATTATTGAAAAGTCTTCACAAAATATTGCCATAGTACTTAGAAAAGTAGAAATTACTGATGTGGAAAAATTGATCCATCTTTTAAAGGAAACCCTCATTATGAGGTGAAGCAAAATGCATTAACCCTGAGAGTACTGCACTTTGGAGGATTCTGCTCTCCTCTGATATGGTTGGGCTGTGTCTCCACCAAATTCTCATCTTGAATTGTAGCTCCCATAATTCCCACATGTTGTGGGAGGGACCTGGTGGGAGATAATTTAATCATAGGGGTGGGTCTTTCACATGCTATTCTCGTGATAGTGAATAAGTCTCATGAGATCTGATGGTTTTATAAAGGGGAGTTTCCCTACACAAGTTCTCTTCTCTTGTCTGCCACCATGTGAGATGTGCCTTTCACATTCCGCCATGATTGTGAGGCCTCCCCAGCCACATGGAACTGTAAGTCTATTAAACCTCTTTTGTAAATTACCCAGTCTTGGGTATGCCTGTATCAGCAGTGTGAAAATGGACTAATACATCCTCCTTGGGACCCTAGCTCAGCTCAGGCATGGTTCCTTTACCCACCCAGCCACTCAGCTCAAAACCTTTCCTTCCTAACTTCCCTCCATCCCATCACCAAAACTGTCACATTTTACCTCCTAAATATGTATTAAATGTGGCCTCTCATCCCTATCCCCACTGTCAATGCCTTGATTCAAATAATTGTTCTTTCTTTACAACAGTAGTTCTCTCATCATTCTCAAAGCAGGGTTCCCAGATCAGTAATGTGGGCATCCCCTGAGAACATTTTAGAAAAGCAAATTCTCAGGCCCCACCCCAAACCTACTAGATTGGAAATTCTGGAGTAGCCCCAGCAATCTGTATTTTAAAGCTCTCTGGGAGGTTCTGTGTGTAGTAGTTGGAGGACTTCTACTTTATTACAATAGCCTTCTAATGAATCTCCCTGCTTACTGTCTTGCCTCGTTCCCCTTGCATCTTTGCTGAATGAGTTTCCTAAATTCAAATATTGCTTATGTCAATTCTCCAGCCTAAAATCCTTTAGTGCTTCCCTCTAGATAAGATACTGACTTCCTCTAACAGTATGTAACGCCTTCCCTAATCAATAACTTTCCTCCCCTTCTGGTGTTGTCTCACCCCCTCCAAGTACCCTGTGATTCACCTATACCAGACAGCCCTCCTGAATGTGCTTCTCAAAGTACATGCTGTCACCTTAGCTGTGGAAGACATGGAGAGGACAGGGAAGGTTTCACAGAGGCAGAGTTCTTTGTCTGAGTCCAAAAATAAGGATATGGAAGCCAAGCCAGGTAGGTCCTGATGGGTACAGAGGTCACTGAGGCTCTACTGTGCCCATAGGCACATGTTGTAAGGCTCGGTGACATCTAAGTTCTAGAACTTAGCATCTAGTAGAGGCCTATGTCAGCAGATACTCCACTGTGTGGGGCAGGAGGCCTGGCATCAATGGCTCAATTCAGTCTATGGCTTTCATCCACAACATTTGTCAGTGATCCCCATGTGACGGTAAGAAATAAAGATAAAAAATATATTTTGGTAGACCTATTGAGTGACTAGGAACTACTATGAACCAAAATATGCAGTTATTTTTCAGGTGATTTATTAAGTAGTAATCAAGGCTGAGAAATGGGAAATAACATTAATAGTTTGTCAACAGGAGACAGTGCTGGTTACATGACCTTGGGTAAATGAATAACCTCTCTGTGCCTCAGTTTTCTCATTTGTAAAATGGGGTTTGTAATAGTATTACCTTGCGGAAGTGCAGTGACTAGGAAATGAGATTTTGAAAGAAGGGTACTTAGCAAAGCTTGACACATAGTAAGCACTCAACAAATGTAATCACTATAATTACCAACATTGTAATCCCTCATATTCTAAGAGCCTGTCAATGCCACACAGTATGCATTTGGGGAGAAGGCAACAAATGGGACAGAACACATCCTGGAAATCATAAAAGCATAACAAGATTCAGGCTGCTGATATTAAGTCTTTGCATTTGTCCCACTTTTATTCATTCCAAATAGGTCTGCTGGAGGTCCTCATTGATGACATTACCCAAGTCCAAAGAATTTGTTTCAGGAATTTGAGAAGATGACAGGAAAGAACTTTCTCTAAGCTTTGTACAACTTACCCAAGAATCTCAGCTATAGAGATGGAGACAGAGATGAGAATATTATCTGGTAAGATTCAGCTCAAAAAATAAAACTTCATGTATAAAATTATCTTGATTGCTTGGTTTCCTTTCGACCAACAAAAATATCACTGAATTTTGATAATTTCCACGCCTTGTAGGTTGAGTTGTAACTACCTGACAAAACTGGAGGAACTACAAGAGAAAAAGATACTATTCTCATTTCTACAGTCTGTCTTTAAGTTCTTCTAATGCTTGACGCAGGTGCCTAGGTGTTGATAAGCTGGTTACAGCACAATCAAAATCAAAGAAAATTATTCCTATGCTTTTCTGACAGTTTATCTTCAGAACAAATCCTAGTGGCAGTTAGTCACAGTGAGAATTTAAGTTTTCTCCCAAGCTTTCTAAGTTTACACCATTCACTTTAGAATGTATGTTTCATTTTGGAATCTATGATTTTTGCGACTGAGAGACCTAGGTAGTGGAAACTGAACAGACGCCACTAATACATATAAGTGGGGCTATTAACAAGAGAACTCATGATTGTTTTTAGTGAGAATTACAGAACCTATTACTATAATGAAAGGAGTGACCTGGACGTAACTCTACCCTTGTCATCTCAGTAACTGCTTAGGGGTCTTTTGTAATTTGCAAATGTTTATCATGAATTTCCATCTAGCCCCAATTGGGTCAAATAACACATTTGGCATCTCAGTAGAATTTACATTGCCATAAACAAAAAATTTACTTGGTTATAGCTGAAGGGGCCTGGTTTTGAATGAAGGGGTTTCTTTTTTTTTTTTCTTTTTCTGAGATGGAGTCTTGCTCTGTTGCCCATGCTGGAGTGCAGTGGTGCAATTTCAGCTCACTGCAAGCTCCACCTCCTGGGTTCACACCATTCTCCTGTCTCAGCCTCCCAAGTAGCTGGGACTACAGGCACCCGCCACCATGCCTAGCTAATTTTTTTGTATTTTTAGTAGAGACGGGGTTTCACCATGTTAGCCAGGGTGGTCTCGATCTCCTGACCTCATGATCCACCCGCCTCAGCCTCCCAAAGTGCTGGGATTACAGGTGTGAGCCACTGCAGCCAGCCTGAATGAAGGGGTTTCTAACACACTTGCACAACTTCTCTACCTCCATGGTAATAACATTTAAGAATGCCAAATCTGTTCTCGATGCCATGTTAAATACTTTTATTGAGTCTCTCTTTTAGTCTTTTTAAATAAATTTTATTGTGTATCTTTGAGGTTTACAACATGATGTTACAGGATATATATAGATAGTAAAATGGTTACTGCATTCATCTGTGTTCATGCTGCTGATAAAGACATACCCAAGACTGAGAAGAAAATGAGATTTAATTGGACTTACAGTTCCACATGGCTAGGGAGACCTCAGAATCATGGCAGGAGGCAAATGGGACTTCTTACATGGGGGCAGCAAGAGAAAAATGAGAAAGAAGCAAAAGCAGAAACCCCTGATAAACCCATCAGATCTCGTGAGACTTATTCACTATCACCACAATAGCATGGGAAAGACTGGCCCCCATGATTCAATTACCTCCCCCATGGGTCCTTTCCACAACACGTGGGAATTCTGGGAGATACAATTCAAGTTGAGATTTGGGTGGGGGCACAGCCAAACCATATTATTCCACCCCTGACCCCTCCAAATCTCACGTCCTCACATTTCAAAACCAATCATGCCTTCCCAACAGTCTTCCAAAGTCTTAACTCATTTCAGCACTAACTCAAAAGTCTACAGTCCAAAGTATCATCTGAGACAAGGCAAGTCCCTTCCACCTATGAGCCTACAAAATCAAAAGCAAGCTAGTTACTTCCTTGATACAATGAAAATTGGGTAAATACAGCCTTTCCAAATGGGAGGAAACTGGCCAAAATAAACAGGTTACAGGGCCCATGCAAGTCCAAAACCCAGCAGGGCAGTCAAATTTTAAAGCTCCAAAATGATCTCCTTTGACTCCAGGTCTCACATCTAGGTGACACTGATGCAAGAGGTGGATTCTCATAGTCTTGTTCAGGTCTGCCCCTGTGACTTTGCAGGGTACAGCCTCCCTCTCAGCTGCTTTCATGGGCTGGTATTGAGTGTCTGTGGCTTTTCCAGGCACCTGGTGCAAGCTGTTGGTAGATCTACCATTCTAGGGTCTGGAGTATGGTGGTCCTCCTCTCACGGCTCCACTAGGCAGTGCCCCAGTAGGGACTCTGTGTAAGGGCTCCAACCCCACATTTTGCTTCTGCACTGCCCTAGCAGAGGTTCTCCATGAGGGCCCTGCCCCTGCAGCAAACTTCTGCCTGGGCATCCAGGCATTTCCATACATCTTCTGAAATCTAGGTGGAGATTCCCAAACCTCAATTCTTGATTTCTGTGTACCCACAGGCTCAAAACCACATGGAAGCTGCCAATGTTTGGGGCTTCCACCCTCTGAAGCCACAGCCCAAGCTCTACGTTGGCCCCTTTCAGCCACAGCTGGAGTGGCTGGGATGCAGGGCACCAAGTCCCTAGGCTGTACACAGCATGGAGACCCTGGGCACAGCCCACAGAACCATTTTTTCCTCCTGGGCCTCTGGGCCTGTGATGGGATGGGCTGCTGTGGAGCTCTCTGACATGGCCTGGAGACATTTTCCCACACGGTCCTTGGGGAATAACATTAGGCTCCTTGCTACTTATGCAAATTTCTGCAGCTAGCTTGAATTTCTCCTCAAAAAATGGGTTTTTCTTTTCTACTGCATCATCAGGCTACAAATGTTCTGAACTTTTATGCTTTGTTTCTCTTTTAAAATTGAATGCTTTTAACAGCACCCAAGTCACCTTTTGAATGCTTTACTGCTTAGAAATTTCTTCTACCAGATACCCTAAATCATCAATCTCAAGTTCAAAGTTCCACAAATCTCTAGGGGAGGGGCAAAACACCACCAGTCTCTCTACTAAAACATAACAAGAGTCACCTTTGCTCCAGTTCCCAACAAGTTCCTCATTCACATCTGAGACCACCTCAGCCTGGATCTTATTTTTCATATTACTATCAGCATTTTTGTCAAAGCCACTCAACAAGTCTCTAGGAGGTTCCAAACTTTTCCACATTTTCTTGTCTTCTTCTGAGCCCTCCAAACTGTTCCAACCCCTGCATGTTACCCAGTTCCAAAGTTGCGTCCATATTTTCAGGTGTCTTTTCAGCAATGCCCCACTCCACTGATACCAATTTACTTTATTAGTCCATTTTCATGCTGCTGATAAAGACATACCTGAAACTGGGAACAAAAAAAGACTCAATTGGATTTACAGTTCCACATGGCTGGGGAGGCCTCCCAATCATGGTGGGAGGAAAAAGGCAGTTCTTGCATGGGGGCAGCAAGAGAAAAAAGGAAGAAGCAAGTGCAGAAACCCCTGAAAAACCCATCAGATCTCATAAGACTTATTCACTATCACCACAATAGCATGGGAAAGGCCAGCTCCCATGATTCAATTACCTCCCTCTAGGTCCTTCCCACAGCATGTGGGAATTCTGGAAGATACAATTCAAATTGAGATTTGGGTGGGGACACAGCCAAACCATATCAGTTACTATAGTGAAATCAATTAACGTATCTATCGGCAAGCCTAAAAGGAGGCTATATTAACATTATAGACAAGGAAAGTGATGTTTAGAGAGTTTTAACCCACCCAAGGTCCAACAGCTGGTCAGTGTGGGGCAACAATAGTCAGAACAGGCAGTCTGCCTCATGGAGCCCATGCTTAATCACAGGGCTTTGCAGCTGCCATATTATCTCTGAAAGCCTGGGTTTCTGAGAAGTTCCTTGAATATCACAGTTAGCTGATCATCTGTCTCCCATTTTTTTAGTTGCTAATAAAAAGTCAGAATCAAACTGAGGGAAAACTCCAGTTAGCACATGGAGGATGGCTCAGCTCAGGTTAGTCAGAGACAGACCTATACCTCTGCTCCTTTCCTTAACTGCCATGTGAGCATAGTCAGCAATCTTACCTCTGAGAGCCCCAGTTTCCTTATCTAGAAAACAGTACAATAATATCTGCTTAGGGTCATTGTCAGGAAAAAAATCAGATTAATTAATGTATGTTGTCTTGTCAGTAGACTGATGGTGCTGTGTTTGATGAAAAGACACCAGCCTTAAATAGTAAGGATAAGAATGTTCATAAAAAATGTTCTGGTGTTGTGCCTGCACACCCACACTGGAAAGCCATGTAAAATATGCAACTGTGAGTTGTGGCCAAAGTTTGAAAATCACTGCTCTAATCCTTTCTCCCTCCCAACCCTTATATCTGAGATCTTTGGGGTCCCTTTCCACAATTTGCTGTTCCTCTCACAATGAGAAATAGAATCACCTTTTCCTCAGTATTTGAACTTCCTAGCACAGCCATTAGTTTAGGGTATAGAGTGAATGTTTGTGTCCCTCCAAAAACTCATAGGTTGAACTCCTAACCCTCAGTGTGATGGTATTAGGAGGTGGGGCCTTCAGGAAGTAATGAGGTCATGAGGGCAGAATTAGGATTAGTGCCCATATAAAAGGAACCCCAGGAAGCTCTCTTGCCCATTCTGTTGTGTCAGGACACAGAAAGAACATGAGTGTCTAAAAACCAGAAAGTAAGCCCTCGCCCAACACCGAATCTAGGACTTCCCAGCCTCCAGGAACACAAGAAATAAATTTCTATTGTTTGTAAGCCACCCAGTCTAAGATAGTTTGTTATAGCAGTATGAACTAAGACAAGAATATATTCATCACAATAAAGGTCTTCGTTATGGGCCCTTTCTGGTTTGAGAAAAAGAAGCAGTAATTTTTCAACTTCAAAGTGTCCTAAATGAAGTGGCAGAAATTTAAAGTCAGATTCTCAAATGCTGCCCACAGGCATCTCTGAACATAGAAGAAATCCCAACACAGTTAGCAAACCATGTGGTTTGCTAACAACTCTGAGTATCCAAAAAAATTTCCTAAATGAGTGTGGCTGATGATTGGGACCAATTTCCTGGTCTTGTGTCTTTGTTTGCCTTCCTTGGTGTATATTCCATTCTCCTAAACCCTTTTCACTTATTCCTGTACTTCCTCAAATCCTTCTATTCTTCCTTCTAGCCAAATAACGAATTGGGATGCAAAATGCGAATTTATCATTATTCATTGTGTATTTTAATGACAATTACACAAAACCAACATCCTTCAGTCAATTTGAATTAGCCCAACTCTTCAGTAATTGAGTGGTCGTCAAAACAGTAGTTTTGGTAACAATTGTTTCCACTCTCTGTCTGCCATTAATCCATCATCAGTGGCATTAAGCTGGCATTGAATTTCCCAAGTTCAAGTATGCATCTACATGTAGTGACTTATGGGGCTGTCCTTTGATTTGCTAATCATGCAGACTGATAGTAGAACTGCCATACATTCAGAAAGCCTCCTTATGGAAGCAAATGGATCTATTAACAACCTGAAACACTGATGCAGTCATTCAGAGCCAATAGCGCCATTATGTACACAAAACAAGATGAATGGTACAGCATATGAAGCCAAGCAGAAACGCTTCCAATACATGGTGAAAAAGATACCTGATTTACTGCAAATGCAAGGGACAATTGTCATTCTATGATATATAGTTACTTTTCTTCACTCATGTTAGCTGAGGTTTTTTGTTTTTTTTTTTTTTTTACTTTTACCATAATAATTATTATGGACAGATTCATTTGGGGTAAGAAATGGTCTTTCAGAAAACCACTGGGGGATTGCAGCAGAGCCCAAGGTATGGGAGCAGATGTGCGTTATAAAGCAATATGCAGCATAATGAGAAAAGCATTCTTCCCTATCCTATTAATTGTTGGCACCACCTAATAATCAAGAACTGCTGACCCCTCCCACCCTCCGACTCACAGATATTTGTGTATTGTAATGCATGATGGCCCAAACACAAGCTCAACTCTCTGTAATGTTAAGAGCCAGCATTTCAGTAATGCTAATCTAAACTCTACCTTTTCTCTCTGCATTGCCTATAACACAGTTTGTCAATAATACATATGTACCTTCTAATTGGTGAATGGTTGGGTAAATGACATAATGCAATTGACTACTGTGCAGAAATTTTAACTGATAATTATGAAGCTGAATTTAAAATACGGAAAATGCTACAGATATGAGGTTAAATAATAAAAGCAGAATGCAAAAATGTCAGAATACTAAGATTACAGTTATATAAAAATGCACTTGGATATAGAGAAGAGAAGAAAAAGGCAAGCTGCTGTATTGATGAGGATGACAAGCAATTTCTTTTGTCTTTTGAAAATATCCTTTAATGTTCCTAGGTTATTCTTATAATAAAAGTTATTTTTAAGATTAAGCCCACCTCTTATGAAAAAGTTAGTTACCCCTTACCATAAAATCCACACAATAAAACCTGCATGTGATAAATGCTGAAACATTTTTTTTTTCAGATTCAAAAATAGTGCTGGAATCTGCCAAGGAATTGGCTCACATTATTCAATGTCAGGCACATTTACACTCATATGTATTAGTAATCCCTTTGGTTGACTTTTCCTTGTCGTTGTCATGGCAACCGTTTCCACTGCCATTAGTACCTCTAGGGCCCAGCCTTGTTCACATATTTTTAGGCTGTTTCTCTTCTAACATAGCAATTAATACTTATGGCATATCTGTATCTGAAGCCCTGGTGGCGGTGATCCATTGTTTCCCTTGGAACTGCTGAGTGTTTGGTTTGCTTCCTTTCTGCTTTGCAGGTACTTCTGTTTCTTTTTGGCGGTTCTTTTCATTAAATATTACAAGCCTCTTTACAGTTTCTAATTATCAGGTTGGTGCAAAAGTAATTGTGGTTTTTGCCATTGAAAGTAATGGCAAGCCGGGTGTGGTGGCTCCTGCCTGTAATCCAAGCACTTTGGGAGGCGGAGGCGGGCGGATCACCTGAGGTCAGGAGTTCGAGACCAGACTGGCCAACATGGTGAAACCCCATCTCTACTAAAAATATAAAAAATTAGCTGGGCGTGGTGGCGCATGCCTGTAGTCCTAGATACTCCAGAGGCTGAGCATGAGAATCGCTTGAACCTGGGAGGTGGAGGTTGCAATGAGCCAAGATCATGTCACTGCACTCCAGCCTGGGCGACAGAGCAAGACTCTGTCTCCAAAAAAAAAAAAAGAAAGGAAAGAAAGAAAGTAATGGTAATGGCAAAAACTGCAATTACTTTTGCACCAACCTAATACATACTATTTGCATTATTGAAAGTTTTTTTTACACATACTTTATGTTTCCCTATCAAATGACCTTCTCTCCATTATCAATAAAATAGCACATTTTCATAAAGCTAACTTTAGATCACTACCACAGAAGAGAAGCAAAATACTTTAGGAAAAAAGCAAAACTTTGGAGTGGTTCTAGACTAATAATCACATGATTATATAGTCTGAATTGGCATACCTCCATTCACAAGAAGTTCACAACAGCAGAAGATATCCCCTTGCATTTTCTGACAAATGGAGTCATCTAATAGTCCTTTCTAATGAAGATATTGCCACTAACGGCTGCCTTTTTTCACTTGTCAAATTAATTTTTTAATAATAGTAATTAGTGCCCAGTACGGTGAGGTTGCTGTGAGATGGGCTTATTCTTACACTGCTGAATAGAGAATCAGTGTCCATCAACCTTTAGTTAAGCAATGATTCCTACAAAAGCTTTATCAATGTTTACTCCCTTTGGCTCTGCAATTCTTGCAGGAATCTTTTCTAAGGAAAAAGTCTAAAATGTAGAAAAAATTATGTATATTATTGACTGAAAAGTAATTTATAATTTTTAAAAATGAGAGCCATCTAAACATCTAACAACAGAAAAAAATACACGATACACCTACGAGGTAAAATAATATGCAAATAACACATCTATAATGGCACAGCAAGTACAAATGATATAATGATAATAATTGTAAAATGTTAATTTAAAGAAACAGATGTGGTTATTATGTGATTATAACTGTGCAAAAAGAATAAATTAAACCATAAGCCCCAAAAGAACAGGAACTGTGTTTGTCTTATCTACCTTGTAAGAGAGAAAAAAATAATTTTCTCCTCTACCCTTTCTGGGTTATTAGTTAGAATGGACTTATGTAACAAAAACAGGTTAACAAGAGGGGGTAAAAACAGTTTATTAACATGTATATTTCATATATACATGGGAAATACCCAGGAGATGGGTAATTCTCCAAGAAGTGGCTTTGAATTCCAGCTCATAGGGTATATTTAACAGAAAACAGTAAATTTTTAGAAAAGTGCCAAGACAAAGTAAAAGAACTTAGAGTCTCTAGGGGTGGTAAATTTGGGGAAGGCAAATAAATGGCAGATAAAGGCTAGTTAGTAAAGTTTGTTCTATAGATTCCTCTGACCATCTCCAGGATATTAAACATCAAAAGTTGTTTTCAGTGACTAAACTTTGTCCTTCCTGGTAGAGAGGGGAAGACAACTTTGTCTTTATAAGTCTATGTACTGCTTCTAGGAAAATAGGGAGAAAGCAGAGAGTTTTTCTCATACCTGCTTATCCTCTATTGCCTTCAGCTCAAAATAATCCTCGTGCCAGTGTGGCACATTTTGGGATGGCATATACTGATCTCTTATAACCTTGTATCTATATAATCTACCAAAATATCTATACATTTTTGTTGTATCAAATGAAATGAATGGATGGACAGATAAATATGTGTAGCAAAAAGAATGTAAGGTAATACATCAAATTTTTTAAATAGTTATTTTCAGAGATGATAATTTTGATGTTTTCTAAATTGTTCTTTACTTATGTTTCCATCTTACTAACTTTTAAAGACTTTTTGGAGGAATTAAATTAATCCTAAGCTTCTTACTCTCCTGTGGAGACAATACATATCTACACCCTCTATAGAACTCTTCAAATAATCGGGGTCAGTTCCAGTGATCAAACAGGTTTCATATGGCATGCATTCTTAATCCCAATTCCATACAGGGCTTTATCTACTTCATTCTGTAGAACCAAATGCTTTTAAAGTACATGGAAAAGCCACATAAACTCTAGAATTCTGTATACATATAAGAATTCTGTACAATATAATTAAGTTTATTATTTTATAAATTGTCTTCCCAATATATGAATCAGATCACTTCCACCTTCAAAAATCTTCCTGCCTAATGAATAAAATTCAACTCCTCAGTCTCATCCAAGGCCTTCCAAAACCTTGTTCCAAAGATTATCTCCAATTTCCTGTCCCATCATCGTATTACCCAAAGCCTCATCAGATTACTTTCCATTTACTCTGTATACCATGCAATGCCTTGCCTTCCTACCCATGCTCACACTGTACCCTTTGCTTGAAAGGCTGTTTTTCCCTTCCCTCTTGACAAAATCCTTCAACACCAGCTCAAATACCACCTTCTCAAGGCCATGAATATATGGTCAGTGATGAAAATCAGTCTGTAGAATGCTTAAAATTAAAGCCCTTTTCCATTTCCAAATACTTAGGAATTTAATGTCTGCTATCAAATCAATCAAAAATGAAAGTGTCTCCTATTCATTAGCCTTCTAATTAGAATCTACCGTGAGCAAGTCTTATTAATGATAGACAGCCTTTTTACCTGGCAGAGATTCACTCAACTCCATTGTGACAGAGGTGTGTGCACGTGCACATGCTCGCATGCATGCATGTGTAACATGGGAGTTTAGGTTCAGAGTGAATGTAGCCATCACTCTGCTGCAGCATGTGTGCATGTGTAGGGGATGAGGAAGAGCATTTCATACTAACTAAAATTTTCTGGGATTATGGAACCATTCCCTAACTTTTTTTTAAGAGCTCCAAAATTGAAGGTTGTAGTAAGAGAGAAGAGAGTAGTAATTTTCTAGTCTGATAGATGGGCCAAGAATAGCATGCAAAGGAAAAAAAAATTAATTTCAAAGGACATTAGTTTCCTTCTTTTAAAGCATACTTGGAAAATCCACAAAAAGATGACATTTTTAAATGTTTCCCTTTTATAATGGCTGCCTGATACTAGTCTTTACCCTGCCAATGAGCACACGAGGGAGATAAAACCACCAACCCAGAAAAACACCAACTGTCAGAAGAGACTGACACATGGCAACCCCAGTTAATTCAGACACAGAAACGCCTTCACTGAAGCACCATGCTCTTGTCTCTCCTTCCTCCTGTGGGTGACACCTCAATGCTTCCAAACCATTTTCTCTTGCCATGCAATTGTCTTTCTGCAGTGTTTTAGAATATCTAGAATATTTTCATTATTATATGTGTTCAAATTTTCATACCCATCAATAAAAGCCATAACACCCCCTCTCCATTTGTACAAAAATTCACTCGAACCAATTATTTTCCAATAAAAGCAGTGTGCACATTTCCTCATTTTGTATTTCCCTAATTCCCTCAATAAGCTGTAAGAGAATTATACCTATAGTTCATCTCCCAATGCCTTTTCTCACTGATTCATTGGAGGACTGCTAGTTCATGCTATTTCAAGGCTCCAGGTAATTGATTGATGCTTATTGGTTTTACTCCATCTCTCTGGAAGACTGAACAAAAAGAAATGTGGTTAAATCACATCCGATTCTGGATATTAGCCCTTTGTCAAATGGGTAGATTGTAAAAATTTTCTCCCATTGTGTATGTTGCCTGTTCACTCTGATGGTAGTTTCTTTTGCTGTGCAGAAGCTCTTTAGTTTAATTAGATCCCATATGTCTATTTTGGCTTTTGTTGCCATTGCTTTTGGTGTTTTGGACATGAAGTCCTTGCCCATGCCTATGCCCTGAATGGTATTGCCTAGGTTTTCTTCTAGGGTTTTTATGGTTTTAGGTCTAACATTTAAGTCTTTAATCCATCTTGAATTGATTTTTGTATAAGGTGTAAGGAAGGGATACAGTTTCAGCTTTCTACTTATGGCTAGCCAGTTTTTCCAGCACCGTTTATTAAATACGGAATCCTTTCCCCATTGCTTGTTTTTGTCAGGTTTGTCAAAGATCAGATGGTTGTAGATGCGTGGTATTATTTCCAAGGGCTCTGTTCTGTTCCATTGGTCTATATATCTGTTTTGGTACCACTACCATGCTGTTTTGGTTACTGTAGCCTTGTAGTATAGTTTGAAGTCAGGTAGCGTGATGCCTCCAGCTTTGTTCTTTTGGCTTAGGATTGTCTTGGCGATGTAGGCTCTTTTTTGGTTCCATAAGAACTTTAAAGTAGTTTTTTCCAATTCTGTGAAGAAAGTCATTGGTAGCTTGATGGGGATGGCATTGAATCTATAAATTACCGTGGGCAGTATGGCCATTTTCACAATATTGATTCTTCCTATCCATGAGCATGGAATGTTCTTCCTTTTTTTTGTGTCCTCCTTTATTTCGCTGAGCAGTGGTTTGTAGTTCTCCTTGAGGAGATCCCTCACGTCCCTTGTAAGTTGGATTCCTAGGTATTTTATTCTCTTTGAAGCAATTGTGAATGCGAGTTCACTCATGATTTGACTCTCTGTTTGTCTGTTATTGGTGTATAGGAATGCTTGTGATTTTTGCACATTGATTTTGTCTCCTGAGACTTTGCTGAAGTTGCTTATCAGCTTCAGGAGATTTTGGGCTGAGACAATGGGGTTTTCTAAATATACAATCATGTCATCTGCAAACAGGGACAATTTGACTTCCTCTTTCCCTAATTGAATATCCTTTATTTCTTTCTCTTGGCTGATTGCCCCGGCCAGAACTTCCAACACTATGTCGAATAGGAGTGGTGAGAGAGGGCATCCCTGTCTTGTGCCAGTTTTCAAAGGGAATGATTCCAATTTTTGCCCATTCAGTATGATATTGGCTGTGGGTTTGTCATAAATAGCTCTTATTATTTTGAGATATGTCCCATCAATACCTAGTTTATTGAGAGTTTTTAGCATGAAGTGCTGTTGAATTTTGTCAAAGGCCTTTTCTGCATCTATTGAGATAATCATGTGGTTTTTGTCTTTGGTTCTGTTTATATGATGGATTATGTTTATTGATTTGTGTATGTTGAACCAGCCTTGCATCCCAGGGATGAATCCTACTTGATCATGATGCATAAGCTTTTTGACGTGCTGCTGGATTTGGTTTGCCAGTATTTTATTGAGGATTTTTGCATCGATGTTCTTCAGGGATATTGGTCTAAATTCTCTTTTTTTGTTGTTGTGTCTCTGCCAGACTTTGGTATCAGGATGATGTTGGCCTCATAAAATGAATTAGGGAGGATTCCCTCTTTTTCTATTGATTGGAATAGTTTCAGAAGGAATGGTATCAGCTCCTCTTTGTACCTCGGGTATAATTCGGCTGTGAATCCATCTGGTCCTGGACTTTTTTTGGTTGGTAGGCTAATAATTATTGCCTCAATTTCAGAACCTGTTATTGGTCTATTCAGGGATTCAACTTCTTCCTGGTTTAGTCTTGGGAGGGTGTATGTGTCCAGGAATTTATCCATTTCTTCTAGATTTTCTAGTTTATTTGCATAGAGGTGTTTACAGTATTCTCTGATGGTAATTTGTATTTCTGTGGGATCGGTGGTGATATCCCCTTTATCATTTTTTATTGCGTCTATTTGATTCTTCTCTCTTTTCTTCTTTATTAGTTTGCTAGTGGTCTATCAATTTTGTTGATCTTTTCAAAAAACCAGCTCCTGGATTCACTGCTTTTTTGAAGGGTTTTTTGTGTCTCTATCTCCTTCAGTTCTGCTCTGATCTTAGTTATTTCTTGCCTTCTGCTAGCTTTTGAATGTGTTTGCTCTTGCTTCTCTAGTTCTTTTAATTGTGATGTTAGGGTGTCAATTTTAGATCTCTCCTGCTTTCTCTTGTGGGCATTTAGTGCTATACATTTCCCTCTACACATGATTTGCAAGAAAAAAATCAAACAAACCCATTAAAAAGTGGGTGAAGGATATGAACAGACACTTCTCAAAAGACATTTATGCAGCCAAAAGACATATGAAAAAATGCTCATCATCACTGGGCATCAGAGAAATGTAAATTAAAGCCACAATGAGATACCATCTCACACCAGTTAGAATGGCGATCATTAAAAAGTCAGGAAACAACAGGTGCTGGAGAGGATGTGGAGAAATAGGAACACTTTTACACTGTTGGTGGGACTGTAAACTAGTTCAACCATTGGGGAAGACAGTGTGGCAATTCCTCAAGGATCTAGAACTAGAAACACCATTTGACCCAGCCATCCCATTACTGGGCATATACCCAAAGGATTATATATCATGCTGCTGTAAAGACACATGCACACGTATGTTCATTGCAGCACTATTCACAATAGCAAAGACTTGGAACCAACCCAAATGTCCACCAATGATAGACTGGATTAAGAAAACGTGGCACATATATACCATGGAATACTATGCAGCCTTAAAAAAGGATGAGTTCATGTCCTTTGTAGGGACATGGATGAAGCTGGAAACCATCATTCTCAGCAAACTATCGCAAGGGCAGAAAACCAAACACCACATGTTCTCACTCATAGGTGGGAATTCAACAATGAGAACACATGGACACAGAGTGGGGAACATCACACACTGGGGCCTGTGAGGGGTGGGGGGAGAGGGGAGGGATAGCATTAGGAGATATACCTAATGTAAATGACGAGTTAATGGGTGCAGCACACCAACATGGCACATGTATACATATGTAACAAACCTGCACGTTGTGCACATGTACCCTAGAACTTAAAGTAAAATTAAAAAAAATAAAATCACAACTTAGAGGAAATTCTGAGACAGAGAAAAAGCTTCTTGAGTGTATAAATCAAATATTACTATGGTTTCTATAAAGGTTATAGAACACCAGTCATCATAGTTCTTTACAAAAGAGTTAACTCTATTTTTAAAGCCCCAACTTCGTTGGGAGAAGTGATCTTGAATGAAAGACCTCTTGATCCTTTTCCTTCACAATAATATTATGGTTGACAACATTAAAGCAGCAGAACTGGCTAACTGCTTGCCCAATATCCATTCTTCCTTCATCCTACCTAACAAGTTCTTCCCATGCTACTAGAGATGGCCATGAAACCTGGCCAATAAGATGTAAGTGAGGCGACTGGGAGGAGCTTCTGAGAATGCTTTTCAAAAAAGCAGCAGACGCAGCTGGCATGCTCCTTTTACCCTCTGCCATTTGCTCTTTGTCTTTGCCCATTATTCTGACTGAAAGGAAAACTCAAAGCCTAGAAATACAGCCACTGTCTTGTGACTGTAAGGAAGCCACACACTAAACAGCAAAGGAGGAAGACAGAAGGCACCTTGAGTCAGTGCTCCAGCCATGAATGGCCTCTTCTAGACTTATTGTTACAGGAGAAAATTAAACCCTTTCCTTGTTTAAACTACTTTAATAGGGGTTTTCATTATTTACAGCCAAACTCAAAGCTAACTGACACAGTTACATTCTGCCCTCCCTCCCATTACAACAGATGTGGTGTCCCAACTCCTACCGAATGCCAGTTATTCCACTTGGAATCTGGATTTCCTCCTCCTTACCTTCCCAAGAAATTCCCTTCTCTCTCCTACATCTTCAGTTTCTCCCTCTCTACTTCACCATTACCATTAGCACAAGCATGCTTTAGTGACTACTGTCTTGAAAGAAAGAAACCAATACAGAGAGAGGGAGAGGAGAAGTGAGGGAAGGAGAAAGGAAAGGAGAAAGGGAGGGACAGAGGGAGCAAGGAAGGAAGGTAGAAAGGAAGGAAGAGAGGGAGGGAGGGAGGGATGTCTTGATCCTATATCTCCTTCTAGCTACCACTGCATTTCTTGAAGTTTTCCTGAAGTTGCTATTCCACCTCCTCAATT